>NC_000011.10:80752665-81055696 GCF_000001405.40 Homo sapiens | reverse complement strand
TAAACATGGACTACATAGGGAGAGTTTTTAATAAGTCAACTAATATTTACTATGCCCTTAAAAATATTCCAGGATGATTTATGGGCAGAGTCTTAATCAAGCTTCTGAATGACTCTATGATGTACAATCATTATTATTTCCATTTTATTTTATTTTATTATTATTATTATTATTATTTTTGAGACGGAGTCTCACTCTGTCGCCCAGGCTGGAGTGCAGTGGCGCGATCTCGGCTCACTGCAAGCTCCACCTCTCGGGTTCACGCCATTTTCCTGCCTCAACCTCCAGAGTAGCTGAGACTACAGGCGCCCGCCACCATGCCTGGCTAATTTTTTGTATTTTTAGTGGAGACAGGGTTTCACCGTGTTAGCCAGGATGGTCTCGATCTCCTGACCTTGTGATCCACCCGCCTCAGCCTCCCAAAGTGCTGGGATTACAGGAGTGAGCCACCGTGCCCAGCCTATTATTTCCATTTTAAATGTAAGGTAACTGAGACTTAGAAATTTAATAGTTTGCTTCACTTATGGTGCTAGTAAGTACAGAACTGAGATTTGAGTTTAGGTTTGTCTGACTCCGGAGTCAGAGAGCTGAGGAGCTTGTCACACCCAGGAGCTCGAACCTTTCCCATTCTCCTTTGGCTCCACACCTCTAGAATTCTTGCTGTGCTTGCCTTCTGAATGGGCTACCTGGATGCACTGAGCAAATCATGTTCTGATCAGAAGCAACGTGCCTGAGAGGGAGAGAGCAGGAAACTGCCTTACTAGTTCATGATGAGAAGTAGGAAAGGATTCTGCAAATTAAGTCTTGGGATTTCACCTCACGTTTTCATTAAGTTTTAACTCTGTATATAAAAAAAGTTAATTGTATGGTCCTTTAATTCTATAAAAGGTCAACCAAGTCCTGCATTATGTAAGGCGTTAAGGCAATTCTTGAAGTAGAAACACATTTGAATGGTCGATCAGGGTAAATCATAAGCATTTCATGAAGCACTCTTGATAATAAGATTCAATTATTTCCAATGAGAATGTTTAAATCTGGTGAGTGGACTGCCTTGCCTACTGTGAGCAAAACGAATCTTATCAAGGACAAACTATGACACTCACCTTTGTATTTGATAGTTTTATTTTTAGCAATGTGCATTTTCTATGTGTGTGTTTATAAGCATACATGCTTATTTGAGAAAAAAAATGGTGAACACAGAGCCTATGAAAAAATAAATTTAAAAATCACTCGGGGCTGGGTGCGGTGGCTTATGCCTGTAATCCCAGCACTTCGGGAGGCTGAGGCGGGTGGATCACGAGGTCAAGAGACTGAGACTATCCTGGCCAACATGGTGAAACCCGTCTCTACTAAAAATACAAAAATTAGCTGGGCATGGTGGCATGTGCTGTAGTCCCAGCTCAGGTGGCTGAGGCAGGAGAAGCACTTAAACCCAGGGGGCAGAGGTTGCAGTGAGCCGAGATCACGCCACTGCCCTCCAGCTTGGGCAACAGAGCAAGACTCCATCTCAAAAAACAAAAATCAGTCAGAGACCTCCTACCCAGAAAGACCTATTGTGCAATTTTAGTATGTTCCCTTCTAATTTTTAAAACAATTTATGTTTATGCCTCTTTACAGGATGGAATCACAATGTTTACAATTTTTTTCTATATTTTTAAAGATTATATTGTAAATATGTCTATGTCATTAAAATTGTCACATAATATCCCATCTTGTGAGAGTACTATTATTTGATTAAGCATTCTTTAATTGGAAACATAGCACTCAGTATGTGTGGGTATGTGTATGTGTGTTGTGCCGGTCTGTGTCTTTTAAGGAAAACAATTTTGATTGCAATGGTAACTAATTTGGATAGAAAGATGTGGCCTGCTTTTATGGAATTTTGGAATATCTCTCTTCTCTCCTAAGATTGAGCCTATCTTTTTCTCAAGTTTACAAATCCCGCCCAAATTTGAAATCCATCATTGCGATAGTGCTTTTAGTTGAAGGGTTGTATAGGCAGGATTCAAACAGCAGCAGCATGGGGTGAGAGACCATGTTCTTGAATGCTCATCTACATTACTATACCCTCCTTCTGTTTGATTTAGAGATAAACCATGCATTGTTTGCAAATATACTATCCTTTGTATATTCTCATGCCTTTGCACATGCGGTATCTTCTGTCACATCCCCATGGTAATATTAATCCATCAAAGTCCAGTTCGATATCACATGCCTTTACCTTTCCCTCATCTACTTCTCTCCCTTTCTCTACCCTAATCGCAGGCACAATAGTTTGCTCTCTCTGCTCTGTCCCCCACCACTTGATTTGCACAGTTTGTTATAACGCTGGGCAAAATAATTGTTTTCTCATTCTTTTGAGGCACTCTTCCCACTGGTCTGGATGTTTCTGAGGGCAGAGCTTTAAGTTCAGTGCCACTCTGTTAATCCCTTGTGTCTGTCACCTAACTTGTCCCGTTGTACACGTGGCTTGCCATGTTGGGCACCAAGAAAGAGCAACCAGGCCTCATAATTTTCATTTAGAAAGTGGGCCTCATAATGCCTGTCTTTGATAGAAATGTTTTAGGAATGTGCAGCGCTGTCAGTTATACGTTAAGGAGGGATTCTCAATGAAGGCTGGAAAGTAATCCTTGGCTTCAAGGTTCCTACAAGACTGTGACTTGGAAAATTCTCATATTTCTCCCCAAATATATGACTAATTCAACTCTGGAAAGTTGTTCACATGAGTACAGGGTTCAGGAGGGAATTATAAGGGTGAGAGGATGTCACTGAACTAACATAGATTAAATAGAAAAGGTCAGAACATTTCAACTGCATTCTGACACATTAATTTGGTTTTCAAATGAGAAAACTCTGTTTTAAAAGATTTATGTCAATAAACTCCTATTAATACTTGCCCAGTGGGACTTAAGGAGAACTAATAAAATATGTTTGTAAATCATGTTGAAGGTGATTAATAGCTTCTACTTTTAATGCTTCATTTGATGATTTCAAAGGGCTTTCTCGTATAAGAAATTGCTGTTACTGAGACAGAAACTCAGACATGGAAAGACATGGGAACATCCTCAGGCCATAAAGTAGGATCTATTTATTTCAAACATATAACTTGTGTTTTTTATCTCACCTTAAGATAAATGAAGGAAGTGTAAATCAATATTTCTTGACTGTCCACATTGTACTAGGCATTGTCAGGAACAGAGTAATAAATGTGATCCTAAGTCTGCTCTCAAGAAGTTAAATCATTACACTTTTGCTATCTTGTGCTAAGTATATTTATAGAAGAAAACAGAAGCAGAAAGAATATAGAAAATGGGCTGTTTATCTCTATTAAGATCAAGAGGTACAGCATCAACTTCCTGAAAAAGAATGATTTGAACCGGGTTTTTTTAGGAAAAATCCTTTCAGAGATCTTCCAAGATTACTTAAAGTAAGGTGCATGCATGCATAGAAGCATGTTTCAGCATGAAGGTTTCTGAGCACTAGCCGCAGTCTGAAATTGCTGCATGGTGTAGTGTGAGGGAGAGCAGTCACAGGCAATGAGGCTGGGGAAGCCTTGGCAGGAATCAGGGCATGAGAATTTTTAAGTGCCATGCTACGGAATTTGGACATTATACCACAGATAACGATGGAGTATTTTAAGGAGGAGGTAGCATGAATAGTTCTGTATCTTATAAAGCTGTTTCAGTCACCTTAGGCTGAATTATGCTGTGATAACAAATAACCCCAGGATCTGAATGACTTAATATTTTTAAATCATTTATGCCTAATATCAAGTGCTCATTTTGGGGTATGTACAGCTCTGTTTATCCTTTCCATGAGACCAAAACTGACAAAGCAGCCTCTATCTGGGGCACTAGTAGTTCAGAGGCAGAGAATAAAAGAGAGACATTAGAAACCATGAGCTTGTACTCTAGAAACGACAATAGGTTACTTTCATCCACATTTTATTGGCTGAAGCAAATCACATGGCCACTTTTACATCCATGAGAACACAGTTGTATAATCCTTGTGCAGGGACAAAGACATTGGGGAAGGGCAGCAAATACCATGAGCACAGATCATGCTGGGGCATATTCTGAATATGGGGAAATCTCACTACTCATGAGAAAATAGGCTAGTATAAATTAGACAACTCTGCGTTAAGCATTATGTTGAAAATTACACATAATTTAGATTTGATATTTTCATGTATATCAAGAGCATAAAACAAGCAAAAGCATATGGCATGGCTAGATGCTTGGTGAGAGATCATCATTTGTAATCATTATCTCATTATTATTGCTGATAATTATGACTGATCCTGTGATATGATAGGTATCTTTTCATTGACAATGCACATACATTACCCAATTTATGTTTCTCTGAGGCATGCAAAGTTACTAGTATCATTCCCATTTTACAGAGGAATAAGTTAATGCTCAATTAAACCCATAAGGTTATCACAAGATACAGTTACTAAGAGACAGACCTGAACTCAAACATAAGTAGCTTTTCTTCAAAACTAGTATTTTAGCTAAGTGGACAAATCAAACCTTAACCTAAGCAATTTAATCACTGCTCTAACAATATTAAACAAACTTGCTAACAGCTCTTTGTCTAGCATAATTTATACATAAACATCAGCTTTTCTCTGTCATATCACAAATCCTGACTCAGTGGTATCTAAGTTTATGATTTATATTGGGTACTATGAAAATAGGGGCTCATACGTTTTCAACTGCATACATATTTTAAGATCAGCTATGAAATTATTTTTTACTAACCAATAACAACAACTTCTAATATGCATTCACATAAAAGAATCCATCCAAGTCCTAAATATAACAGTGTACTTTTCTCTATGCATTTATAGATTTCATTATAAGGTACTAGCTTCTCTTTGTCTTTGATTAGCATTTTGTCAGATCTTTGGTCCATGTGCTTTGTCAGAAAATACTCTGACAATGAATTCAAACATTCCCAGAATACACTTCACCTAAAGTTATCTGCAAAGATTGCAGTTGTTTTGTAAAGATTTATGCTAAAAATGTAAACATAGAAAGATCAGTCATAATAGCTCTTTATAAGAAACCACACAGACCCTAATTTCTCATTTTCTGACATTTAAATAAAAAGAAGCATAATGAAGGGAGGCAGTGTGAGGCAGCAGAAAAAGCACCATGTTCAGGATACTGGAGATAGACACTGTAATTCTGAGTCTACCTCCAAGTTACTATGTGAACGAATAATTAGTCTTCCTGTGTCATAGCAATTACATGTGTAAAAGAAGCATTAAATAGATGAGCCCTTACGGTTCAAATATTCTGTTATGTTCACAAAACAGGATATATCCATTCATAAAGTGCTTAATGTATCTATCAAATTAGTTTTTGTTAAGTGCTGCTAATGTCAGGCCCTATGCAGATACCATTAATGGAAAGCTGAAAAAGGCATAGGTAGTCATGGTCATTGTCCTCAAAGACCTTACAGTCCATTGCAAGGAGTTAAGCAAGAAAGTATTGCTCTCAGCGCAGTGGAAGTGCAATGCTAGAGTATACAAGGAAAGGAGAGATGGGGACACAGAGGAGGCTTTATATCAAGGTCAAAATTTGTTACAGCACAAGTCCAACTAAAATAAATTTTCTTCTATTTGCCATTGTTTTTAACCTGTTGCCCTTCATGCTAAACATTCCCCACTTATCATTACTCTTGTGAGCTTTATACATAACATGTTACTATTATTCCCATTTATATATGAGGAAACTGAAGCTCAGAGACTGAGTGGCCCAAGCATCATGAATGTGTAATAGAGAAGTAGTCTTCGATTACCTGATCCCAAAGTTAATGCTTTTATCCCTAATGCAAACTCTGTGAGTGTGTGCATTTTCAACACTTTTATGAATTATTTTTCCTCTGCATCATTGATTCCCTTGTATAATTTCTAAAGAATTCAATTGCAGTTTCTCTGGAAACTGATGAGATCAGCTACCATTTTTTTTTTCTTTGTAAGACTCAGTCTCCTGCTTGTTAAGGACTTGCCGCCCTTCAGCTTTGATGATGGCCCTGATTAGAAGAAGGAGGCATTGATAACTCTCAAAGGAGCTACAGGGAAGCTTGCAGGAAGTACTTTGCTTTCTCATTCAGACCACTGAAGGAAGTGTTCAGAATAGAAACAACTGGTTCCTTTTTGGCATTTTCACTCCTGGATTAATTTTGCCACGATGGATGCACAGCAATCTCACTTCCAGGCCACTTAACAAAAGCTCCTTCAAGTGCAAAAGAAAATGATTCCTTGAGAGGCCAGAGAAAAAGCGTGTGAAAAAAAAAGTGGTTTAGTGTTAAAAGATGCCTATCTCAAAAGCCTTCTTCAAATTCACAAGCTGAACTACTTGGAGCATGAAGCAGCATCTATAGCGACTGAGGTCCGATGAAAATGCAATAAAATATAAAGACAAATATAAATGTAGCCCTCTAAAACCGATTTCAGTGGCTCACAGAAATCCTCAAAGTCCTTGTACTTAGTTACTTTAGACAGGCATGGGCAACGTTTTCCATTTATTTTTAATGTTCCTGGGTGTCTGTGTCAAGGACTTTTGAGGATGGTGAGCTAAGGAGGTTTTGCTGGAAGCTTCTCAGCCACCAGGTCCCTAACTTCTCTCTCTCTCTCTATACATACATATATATATATACACACACACACACACACACACAAACATATATGTATATACACACATACATATATATATACACATATATATATATGAAGATTGGATATATATGAAGATTAGATATATACAAAGATTCATGTATGTGTGTGTGTATATATATGTGAAGATTGGATATATATGAAGATTCATGTGTATATATATGTATCTATATGAAGATTGGATATATATGAAGATTATATATATATATGAAGATTGGATATATATGAAGATTCATATATATATGAAGATTGGATATATATGAAGATTCATATATATATGAAGATTGGATATATATGAAGACTCATATATATGAAGATTGGATATATATGAAGATTCATATATATGAAGATTAGATATATATGAAGATTCATATATATGAAGATTGGATATATATGAAGATTATATATATATGAAGATTGGATATATGTGAAGATTATATATATAAAGATTGGATATATATGAAGATTCTATATATGTGAAGATTGGATATATATGAAGATTCATGTATGTGTGTGTGTATATATATATATGAAGATTGGATATATATGGAGATTCATGTGTGTATATATATATGAAGATTGGATATATATGAAGATTCATGTGTGTGTATATATATATGAAGATTGGACATATATGAAGATTCATATATATATGAAGATTGGATATATATGAAGATTCATGTGTGTATATATATGAATATTGGATATATATGAAGATTCATGTGTGTATATATATATGAATATTGGATATATATGAAGATTCATGCGTGTGTATATATATATGAAGATTGGATATATATGAAGATTCATGTGTGTGTATATATATGTATGAAGATTGGATATATATGAAGATTCATGTGTGTATATATATATATGAAGATTGGATATATATGAAGATTCATGTGTGTATATATATATGTATGAAGATTGGATATATATGAAGATTCATGTGTGTATATATATATGAATATTGGATATATATGAAGATTCATGTGTGTGTATATATATATGAAGTTTGGATATATATGAAGATTCATGTGTGTGTATATATATATATATGAAGATTGGATATATATGAAGATTCATGTGTGTGTGTATATATATATATATATGAAGATTGGATGTATATGAAGATTCATGTGTGTGTGTATATATATATATGAAGATTGGAGTGGTGAAAGCCATCCTCCCATTGTGTTTGGTCATTGCCATTTCAGTCCCCAGAACCACACTTAAAGGCTCTCTGGACCAGAGAAAATTCAGTTAAGTATGAAGTGGCTACGCCAGCCCAGAACTTGATTTTATTGACCTGAAGTAAAAGCCTCACTTAGTACTTTTCTAAACAATTAAAGACGTGGTCCCCCACCTCCATTAAAAGATACAAGGATCAATAAGAATATTGAAACACGTCGATGAAAAAAAAATTACAGGTACTATTTTTCAGTGCTTTACTATATGCCTGGCCCAGTATTACATATTTTATAGATGTAGTTGCCCCAAAACCCTGAATATTAACTGCTAAATTTCCTATTTTTATTTTTCAAATGAGATAATTGAACCTTAAAAAAAGCCAAGTAATTTTCCCAAACCCAAAAGACAGAAAAAGCCAGGGTTTAAACTCAGCTTTCCAACTGCAAACCACTGCCTTATCTGGTATATCTGCCTTGGCCCAGATAGTGACCATCACAGGTCTCAGAGTCCATTCAAAGATAAATATGTATTTGGATTTAAAGGTCAATTCATTCACTTCATCGACAAGAAAATAAAAGCCCAGAAATAATAAGATACCCGGTGGAAAGAGCACCAATTACACCACCAGCCATCTTGAGCCCCAGTCCTGAGTGTAACATGTATTCCCTTGTGACCTTAGAGACACCACTTAGGGACTCTGAATCTCAGTTTCCCTATTTGTGAGACAGGGGTCTTAGGATATCACTCTCAAGGGGCCTTCTTCCTACCACGTTCCAGACCCAATCCCTTCCTCTCTTCTGCAGTACTTATCTCACTTATAATGTAACTGTCAGTAGGTTATTTCATTATAAAAGCTTTCCCTTAAGGCCTAATGCTTTTCTTTTGTAGAGAGAATTTAATTGTCACCATTCAAACCCATTTGAGATAGAAATTACACTTACTTATATATCTTTAAAAGTTTTCTCAGGATTCAGAGCTTTCTTTGTTATTCCTTCAGTGGACAGGGAACTAATATGATGATATGTTACATGAATACTCATGTGTACTGGTCATTATTCTAGCTGTTAAGTATGCAATCTCATTAGTTCTCATAGTTATTGCAAAACAATGTGACATTATCCCCAACTGAAAGTTAAGAAAGCTGAAGTTCAGCATGTTGCAAAAGTCTTAAATTTGTACAATGTTTAAGTGATGAAACTGGGATTCACAGTCAGGTATGTTTTGATGTATAAGTTTATGCCTGTCCCCACTGTCCCACAGTATTAGGCTCAGTGCTTACCATGGTGCTGCTGGATGGAAAACATAAAAAGCTGACAGTGACCGCAAGTTGGGACCAAGTGGACCGTGATTGGTCTCCATTTGACAGCCATATAATCAGAGATTTCTTCTTCACAACAATTTTTTCAGAGTTAAAATGCCTCAGGTGCATTCAAATAATATGACAATTTTGCCCTCCTTCTATTCTTATAGAGTTCAGCAAGGCAATGTAGTAATGTAACTGCCTGACATAGATGAATTCCATGTTTTCATGGAAAGTGACGTCAATATTTCTTTGTCTCACGTTATTTTGGACATTAAAATCTAACCTATCTGAAATATTGCGATTCAAAACAAGCTCTCCTTCCAAAAAAATCCTGCAATTTTAACTTCAAACATGTAAGAATGATTATCACATATCTATACATTAGTTGTCTCTTTTCATTACTATAAAATGGGAAAAATGCTAATATATACCTCATCCTGGATTAAAATGACCCATCCTTCCATGTAATAAGAACTTTTTATGTATCATGTGGCACAATCTGTTGCCCAAGACTGTTACAATCTGATTGCAGAAGACTCTTAAAAAAGTAAGCATCAATGTATGTTGGATAGTTGAATCTGCATCAGTGTTTATCAATAGTTGAGCTCAGTGATATTTGATCTCAAACATATACAGTATTTGTTACCTTGGTATCTTCATTTAAAAAAATGGACATTTAATTAAGAAGTTAATACCTGATAACATTAAAAACAGAAATTCAAAGTAACCTCACTGAGTTCTGGTAGAGAAAACAAGTGATTGTTTAAACTGTATTGGTATAGTATGTGAAAGTAAACTCTCAGAAGTCTTGTGGTACATATATAAACTTACCAAACTGTGAGTATGTGTGTGTGTTGACATACTCAGTTTACCCAAAGGGAAATCCTCCAGAATCCTTCCTGAGATGGGTGAGCCATGGTTGCCAGGTTTCTGAGAGTTGAGATATGGGTGGACTGAGGGCAGGCTCGATACTTGAGCCTCGCAGCTTCTATGCTGGATCTCACTGCTGTCTTAGCTGAGACTCAGTTCCCATGCCAAACGGCAGCCCTCAGCTCTCAAGGGACCAGTGAATAGGCCATAACAATGAAAATATGATATAATAAAATTAACACTTATTTAGCAGTGATGATGTCAGACAGTTTGCTAGGCACTTCACATAGAGTATTAGATACAACCCCAATAGCACCACTGCCATGCCAGTATTATTATTTTTATTTCTTAGAGGGAAGAAACAGAGATCAGCAAGGTTAACTGATTTGTCCCAAATCTATCATGGTGGAGCCATCAATTGCTTTCAAGGCTAACTCTGAAGTTCATGTTCTTTCTATGAAAAGTAAAAAAATATATATATATATATATTTCCATATATATGATATATATCATATATATTTGCTACCTATAAATATATATATATATATGTATGTTTATATATTTTTATGGTGCACAACAATCCTTGCTCCAGATGATAATTTGTGGTTTTCTCATCAAAAGTATCTGGGTACTCATTACATGTGAACTTATTTCATGCTCTAAATTTACCAAGACAAGCCCTGCTTAATATCCAACAACTTTGAAAAACCATAGCCTTCCTAGAGGTTGTGAAGTGGTATCTTGTTAAGATAATATCTACACTGAACAACTGATTTTAAATGTAGACTGAATAGCTTTCTTTTGGAAGAAGATGATATCTAGGACTTTCATAGCTAGAGAGGAGAAGTCAAGGACTGGCTTCAAAGGACAGGCTGACTTTTTTGTTAGGGGCTGATCATTTTACATTAAAATTATTGATCATTTACCATTCTGAAAATTCTGAGACCCCTAAAAATTATGTTAAATCTACTCTGCCTGTGTTCTATAAATGGAACAAAGCCTGGATGATAGCCCATCTGTTTATAGCATGGTTTAATGAATATTTTAAGCCCACTGTTGAGATCTACCGTGCAGGAAAAAAAATATTTCTTTCAAAATAGTATTGCTCGTTATTATAATACAGTCACCCAAGAGCTCTTACAGAAATGTATAAGAAGGTTAAAATTGTTTTTATGCCTGCTAACACAGCATGCATTCTGCAGCCCGTGAATCAAGGAGTAATTTTGACTTTCAGTTTTGTTTTGTTTTTTAATTTAAGAAATACATTTCATAAGGCTGCAGCTGTTATAGTGATTCCTCTGATGGCTCTAGGCAAAGTAAATTGAAAACCTCCTGAAAAAGATATTTCAACACCAGTAAGAACTTTCATGATTCATGAGAGGAGGTAAAAATATTAATAGTAGTATAGAAGTTTATTCCAATTTTTTTTTTTTTCTTTTTGGAGACAGAGTCTCACTCTATCACCCAGGTTGGAGTGCGGTGGCGCGATCCTGCTCACTGCAAGCTCTGCCTCCTGGGTTCACACCATTCTCCTGCCTCAGCCTCCCGAGTAGTTGGGACTACAGGCGCCCACTACCACCACGCCCGGCTAATTTTTTTTGGATTTTTTTTAGTAGAGACGGGGTTTCACCATGTTGGCCAGGATGGTCTGGATCTTCTGACCTCGTGATCCACCTACCTTGCCCTCCCAAAGTGCTGGGATTACAGGTGTGAACCACTGCACCCAGCCTTATTCCAATTTTTATAAATGACTTTGAGGGGATTCAAGACTTCACTGAAGTAAGTAGCTGCACATGTGGTAGAAATAAATAGCAAAATAACTAGGTTTAGAAATGGAGCCCAATGATGTGCTGCAATCTCATGGTAAAACTTGAATGAATGAGGAGTTGCTTCTTGTGGCTGAACAAAGAGAGTGGCTCATTGAAATGGGATATACTCTTGATGAAGATGCTGTGAACATTGTTGAAATGACAACAAAATATTTAAAATATTACATAAACTTAATTGATAAAGCAATGGCAGGGTGTGAGAGAATTCACTCAAATTTTGAAAGAAGTTCTGCTGTGGGTAAATATGACCAAACAACATCACATTCTACAGCGAAATCTTTCATGAAAGAAAGAGTGAACTGACGCAGAAAACTTCATTATTGTCCTATTTTAGGAAATTGCCACGGTCACCCTGACCTTCACCAACTGCCACCCTGATCATGTCAGCAACCATCAACATTGAGGCAAGGCCTTCCACCAGAAAAAAGATTATGACTCCCTGAAGGCTCAAATGATTTTTCGCATTTTGTAGCAATGAAGTGGTTTTAAATTAAGATATATACATTGTTTGCTTAGACATAATGCTATTTCATACTTAATAGATTACAGTATAGTATAAACAGAAGTTTTATGTGAACTAGGAAATCAAAACATTTGTAACTTGCTTTATTGTGATACTCACTTTATTGTGGTGGTCTGAAACCAAACCTGGAATATCTCTGAACTATTTCTGTATATTTTGAATACTAGACTCTTATCAGATATGTAATGTCTTGATAATGTCTCATTATTTTAAAATATTCATCCATATCATCTCTCAAATACAACTTCTAACAAAAAATGCATCCAAAATATTAAAAATAATAAAGCATAAAAAAGCTTTATAGACAAAGATAAAATGCCTAAGTATCCAACCATAGAAGAATGACTACATAAAATATAGTAAATCTATAGTTAATGTGATATACTATTCTGCTACTGCATTAGACTACCCAAATTAATTACTATATTAAATAATATCATGGATTTTGAAATAAAATTTTACTTTTTAATTTCGTGCAAACATAAGGAAAATCTCTTTAAATTTATTTCAAGACAATAACCTGCCCACATCTTTCCTCACCTCACCTCCATCAGTTAGTATTAAAGTTGACTTACTGCTAATGATGCCAGTACTTTCCATTCAGTGGGTATTTGTAAAATAGTTATTAACATGTGCTAATAAAAGCTTTCCTTAATACTACAGCATTTGCCTTTTCATATGCCAATGTAGGTACCACTAAGCAAATAAAAACCCTTCCCAACCCCTTCTTTATAGAAATTCTATAATTTAAGCTTCTTAATGTAATTGTAATCTTCAGTACTCAAATCTGGAATGTTCTTCTAAATGCTATTATTTTATGTTAAAATAATTGTTTTCAGATTTTCTTTTTTACATTTTTTTATACTGTCAAACATTTAACATTTACCTGAAAGAAGAGGTAATTTTTATGATTAGGTTAATATTTATTTTGTAGGAAAGGCAAGAGTAAGAAAATCTTAAGCTGACAATGAATTTACAATTCATTAATTTAACAAATATTTATTGAGGTCCCAACATGTCTCAGGAACCATGCTATGGTCTTAGAATTCAAAAATGAAATAACCATTCTATGGCCTCAAATAACTTATATAAATTGCACAACAATTACAGTATCATCATGTCATTTCTACACATTTCAGTGGAAGCAAAAGGGAAAAAATGTCTAAACTGGCTTGTGTAAGTAAGTGAGGAACTACATCATAGATTAAACAGATTAAACTGAGCTCTAAATAATAAATTACAGTTTTCCATGTGGGTAAGCTGAGAATAGAGATGGAAGTTGTCATGACAGGGGTAACAGCCTATACAGAGATTCAAGAAAGTATGAGAGCATTTGTGTGAGTGAATTTGGCATTGCTAAAACATGACATCAAGGAGGCAGGAACAACAGAGGAAGCTGTGCACCTGGGACAGAACACAATAACTTTTTAAGTTAGAGGACCAGCATATATTCAGGCCCAGAAGTAGAGGATTTAATTTAACAATTAAAAAAAGTGCACTTGCTAAAGACTATATGTTCTTTTCCATCCTAATACAATGACCTGGAAAAGACACAATCATTCTGACTTGCCAACCTAGACCTGTGTTTTCTAAGCAGAGAATGCATATATATATACTCATTATGAAGAAGAAAAACTTCATTTGACCTTTGCTTCTGAATGTGATTTTGCAACTCTTGATTCAGTTCGATCCAATGCAACAAATGTGTTCAATACTTGCATGCAACAGGCATGCAGTTAGGAAGAGGAAAGTTCCTATTTTTAATGAAATTCCTGTGTGGCAAGGAAATGGAATCTTAAATTATTATTTGTAACAAGAGAGCTATATAAGGTATAATGGTGAGAAAAATGAAAGAAAGTTATCATCATTACTGGGTTGAAGAGTTGATTTTTAATTTGGATGCTGAAGTGTATCTTCAAATTCTAACAAAGACGAAAGACAATAAAGCCAGAACAAAGAGGTATATAAAAAATAAATATATGAAACAATATTCTCATTAAAAGAGCTGTAAACTGTTCACCTGTAATAGGAACTTACATACTGGGGGGAAGCTTGATGATAATTGAGAATGGAAAGGTGGGTAGATGCCAAATAAGGAAATAGGTTCAGAAGGTCAAGTAACTTCTCCCAGATTCTGATGCAGGGAGGTAAGCTCCCAAGTTGGAGCTGTTAGTAATGTCTGGTATGGCTGCCAGAGCTGTTAAGTGAAATTTTTTCTAATGTTAACAGAAGGCTTTGTAACTACAATGCTTAGCTTAGAATTTAAACAATGACTGTTAACTGTTCTGAGTTGTTGAAGCCACCTTCAGTGGCTACTAAAGAAGGCAATGGTATAGTGAAGTAAACATTATTTCAAGGAGTAAATATGAAAGCTTGAATGTAAGTTATTTAGAACCATATCTGGTGCAGTATAATGAGTAAATGTCATTCTTGTCTCCCAACCTTGAAAAGTAAGTATATCTAGGGTTACATCATTTCTACTAGTAATGTCCCAGGAGGTACATATAAACTGATTTCCTTAAAAGAAATCATCTAAAAGAGGTAGGACATCCAGATTGGGGGAGTAAGGAGTATAGCAAATCCTCTTTCCAGGAAAATCAGAATTTTAACTTATATAAATTATTCTAAAAACGAATTTAAAGTCACCAGAATCTGTACTAAAGGCATACAACCAATAAAGAAATATTTATTCAAGAACATTTACTAAATCTTGCTAAGAACAGCAATTGTCCATGGCACAACCCACTCTATTACCATTGCCTCATCCATCATCTGTGGAGTTTCTTCTCCTGCAAGATCCCAGTCTGATGTTATGGTTTTACCCTAAGAGGGGCATGCTGCTTGCATTTCTCATTCAATCTATCCTCAGGTTGCAGAATCTCTGGGATAGAGCAGTGCCACCAAGTCTATCCTGCAGACTCTGGCAGAGCAATGGATGAATGAAGTATGCTGACACAGGTATTTTGCTTGACAGCCCAGCTAGGGGACCACACCACTTAGCACCGCTGATGAGAGTGCAGCCCCCATAAGCCAGCCATGTTCACATTTATTTTAGTACAGATTTAATGACAAAAGCTTGGAGCAAACACAATTTGTGGGTAATTAACATTGTTGATCCTCGGAGTAGAGAGCAGTCCTGCATGCAAATGATCAAAGGTTGGTTTCTGGAGACATAAGTAAACAGATTTATCTAGATAAGTTCCTTTACATTCCCTTGTTATCTACCCTTTGCTCTCAGCCTCCAGATAAGAGAATTTAACTGCCTTCAGCTATAATCCTCTCCCAAAGCTTTTGCAAAACCTCCCAGCCTTCCAAGGTTTGTATCTTTCCTATAATTTTTCTCACCACCCTGACCAATCTCCTACATCTCCCCCTTTTCCGTTTTTTGCATCAGGTTTTATTGATTGAAGAGTACAGGTGTGTGTGCAGGAACAGGTTTGTAAGGTGCAGCGGTTATAACTCGTTTTCCAGCTTTGCATCCTAGAATTAGTAAATAACATAAGACAAACCTGAGAATAATCAGTAACATCCTTTTCCAATGAAGGAGTGACACCCGCCCCCGCCGGAGTGGGGATCTATCCAGGAGAGATGTTCTCACACATCCTTCCATGTGGCTGTTTGTTGGGTGTGTAGATCTATGGCGTTTAGGGAGTCTAGAATTTTAGTTTTAAGTTGCCTTGAATCTGCTGTTAAATTATCATGTAAGGTTCGCCAGAGGTGTTGTTTTACTTCATCCCAACTATGTATTGATTGATTCCAAGGTAGAGAGGTGACATAGATATGCTTTTGCTCCCAGTCACAGTTTAATTGCTGTCGGAATGCCAGTGCATCTTGCGGCTCCCCTACATATTCCAAGGCAGCCTTGAGGGCTTGCAGACATGCAAGGTGCTTTTGATCTATACCCTGCTATAAGAGAAGCTTGTTAGACACATTTCTGGCCAAGTTATCTACAAAGGTAGCTGTTTGTACTGATTCAGTAATAGAGGCCACGGCAACACTAGCAGTTGCCAAGATGACTATGGCTGAGACTATAAAGGCTATAAGTGTGCCTATGAATCTTCCATGTCTGACCTGGGACAGGGCGCATTCTAAGGTGGCAAGGGCAGAGGAACCTTGCCAATCACATGTCAAATCGACTGGTAGGAATGCCTCAGATTGTCTCCTTAATACCATGACACTAGTAATATTTAAATTAGATATATCGTAATTAGTGATACATGAGGCAAACCAAGCCTGTCCTTGCACTCGGGTCACAAATGTGGAGTTTTGGGCTGTAGTGGAAATATTGGTTCCCATAAGGAAAACATATGGATGGGTAGTGCAAATTACACACTGATCTGTGTGATTGTGAATAAAGATCATACTAAAATTGTTACTGGAATTATGATATGTCCCATGCCAGGTGTCAAGGGAGGTACTAAGATGTCCCAGGTGCCATAAAGTGTCTTGGGGTGGCATGGATTCTATTTGGGGTCTGAGATATTGGGCCATGCCCCCATTGGCCCAAATTATAGGGGAATGGGATGAGGCTGCGAAACTGTGATTGATGCCACCATGGATGTGGACATCAGTATGGTCGCTCTGCAAATGGCAGTAGGAGTCCCAGTCTAAGATGATATAATTGCCTAAGTAGAGGCTACGGTGTTGTCCCCCATGAAAAACCTCCCAGCCAAAGTGGAATCCATCGCTTTCCTGGCTACATTCTTTAGCACAGGAAGGAATGTTGGGGAAAGTGGCATTTATTGCATTGCCTGGTTTGAGGATACCTGCAACCATGTCTGTTAAGGAATTCCCTTGGCCATGATGTAGCTATAATTGTGTTTAGGCAGGTACACATTAAGGGTAGAACTTTTATCACTTACAAACAGTGGGAGGATAGTGGAATCATATGTAGTGTTACCTGGCACCTTAGTCCAATGTGTGCCATTAATGGGGGACCCCACTGGGGGTAAGTCAGTCCCTCCTAGCCAAGCAGTTATGTTATTAGAGGCTGGGAAGGGGGTGTCTGCCCAGGTAACAGGGTGGAAGAAAGGTGGATCTAAGAGATGATCCCAACAGAGTGTAGCAGGTACAGGTTGCAGACGAAGTGAGAGCATAAAAAGGATCAATACCCTACATGAGTTGCAATGTACAACAGAGAGCACAGCAAGGAACAAGTTATCTGCAGTGAATGGTGTCTGTGTCTGGAGCAGAATTCGTTCAGCCCGCTAAGTTGTCTTCTTCGGCATCTCCCAGGTGATGTTCGGGACTTGTGTTGTCCGAGTACGCTGCATCGTCCAGGGTTGCAGTTCCTCCAGGGTCAATTCCTTCATTTCTGGTACTAGGTTGGGTCCTAGCCATGCCATGGTATGTTTGATGCATCATGCTGGAATCCAAAGAGGACCGGAGGGGGTGTGAACACAAGCATATCCTCTTCCCCATGTTAGCAAATCATGTAGACCACACCATACATTATTATTTACATCGTTCCATAAAACCCCGGGTTTTATGTTCTGAGAGGTTTTAGCAAAGTGCTTTTCTATAGCTGATTAAAATTTATCTAAATTTAAAAATTAAGGGTAAATAAGGCTTGTGCTAGTAGTGTTGCAGGGTCCTTACTAATATTGCCCCTTCTTTGTTTTCTGAGCATATTTTTAGAGTGGAATGGATACATTCTACTATGGCCTTGGGGGTTATATAGGATGCCTGTGGAATGCTGGATGTTCTTTGGTGACAAAATTGTTGAAATTGTGAGCTGATATAAGCTGGACCATTATCAATTTTAATTTTTGTGGACCCACCCGATAAACCCAAAAGTTAAGAGAAGATGCTTAATAACATATTGGGTGGACTCTCCAGGAAGAGCATGAGTGCCAATTAAGTGAGAATTGGTATCAATGGATACATGTACATATCTAAGTTTTTCATATTCAGGGACATGAGTAACATCTGTTTGCCATAACTAATTAGGTTCTAGTCCTCTAGGGTTAACACCTGTTGAAGGAGGGGACATGCCTGTGAGCTGACAATCTGGGCATTGCAGGATAATTTGTTTAGCTAGTCTTTGGGTAAGTTGAAATTGTTTAGTTTCTCCAATTTTGATGGAAAAATTGATGTGATTGGGTGGCTTGGTCAAGCAGTGGCATCGTAATCTGCAGGTCTGCTTGATCATTGCCATAAGCTGTTGGGCCAGGCAGTGAGTTGTGGGCTCGAATATGTATGATAAAAATAGGATGTGTATGTTGATCTGGGAATTGCTGAAGTCGAAGGAAAAGTGCACACAGGGTGGGCTCAAGAGTGGACTTAATGAGGGCTGTCTCAAAGTTCTGCAATAGAGTAAGCAGAGTCACTAACAATATTGATAGTCTGAGTAGAAAAGGTTTCCAGAGCCAATATAAAGCCTCCAACGTCAGTGCTTTGAGTGCTAGTAAATCCGAAATGAGTGATGGAATTATGTGGTTTCCACCTAATAGGCGCTTTTCCATTTTTACCAGAACCGTCAGTAAAAAGCATTAAAGTGTTAGATATGATGGAGTGAACTACTTTTGCAGGCACAACTACAGGAGTACAAGATAAGAACTGAAATAGTTTGTCAGCAGGAAGGCATGCTCCTGCTATATGACTGCACAGTCAGAGAGTGCTATCTGAAGATCTAGAGATAGGGGCAATACTGCTTCAAATTGCTTTTTACTCAAGGGAATTCTTATGACATCAGGGTCATAATCTAGCAACTGATTGCATCATCTGCAGCCTGAATAGATAGCTTTACTAACTAGCTGGATATAGGGAGATAGTGTTTTAGTCCCAGCATGTGAGCAAAAAACCCATTCTAGGAAGCGCAGCCCTGGGGCCATCTGTCCTATTAATCCTGTTGTGGAATATTTAGCAGGAAAAACAAACAATTGAACTGAGTATTGTGGGTCTGTGTGATCTAGTTGCCTCTGAGAAATAGCTTGTTCTATTTTCTCATTTTCCTTTTTTGCTGCAGAGGTTAAATACCTGGGAGAGTCTAGGGCTGTATTGCCCTTTAGGATAAAAAAGAGGTTTTGTAACTTATCAGTAGTTAGGCCTAAGATGGGGTGAATCCAATTAATATCACCTAGTAATTTTTGATAATCATTTAAGGTGTGTAAGTTGCTAGTATTTAATTTAACCTTTTGAGGTCTTACTGACTGGGAAGTTAGTATGTATCCAAGATATTTCCAAGGAGAGGACATTTGTATTTTTTCAGGTGCAATGATTAAATTTCTCAATTGTGTAGTCTTTATGACAGACGCATATAAACTTAAAAGTACTGGCTCCGTTGGTGCTGCTAGTTAAATATTATCCATAAAACGAATAATCTTGCAATTAGGAAATTTTTTTCTACTGGGGAGCAAAGCCTGATTTACATGATAATGACTCATGGTATGACTGTGTAGCATCCCTTGAGGAAGAACTTTCCAATGAAATCAGCAAGCTGGCCTTTCATTATTGATAGCTGGTATGGTAAACACAAATTTTCTCTGTCTTGTTCTGCAAGGGGAATAGTATATAAGCAGTCTTTTAAGTCAATAACGACTATAGGCCAATCTTGAGGAATTGCTGTGGGGAAAGGGAGCTCCTGTTGAAGGGGCCTCATAGGTTGCAAACTAGCATTAATAGCCCATAAGTCATGCAAAAGTCTCCATTTGCCAGACCTCTTGGGAATGATGAAAATGGGCGAATTCCAAGGGCTGTTTGATGGTTCTATATGGCTGGCTTTTAGTTGCTTCTCACCTAATTCATGGGGGCTCTTTGTAATTTCTCTCCCTTTAAAGGCTACTGATCTACCCAAATTGGATCTTGAGAGAGCCACATTAAGGGTAGGGGAGGAATAATAACAGTGGCCATTATTAGAAAGGTGTCTGCAGAGTGACCCCCATTGGGCTAATAGTCCTGTCCCCAAAGATTAACAGGGATGGGGATGATTAAAGGTTGTATAACTGCTTTTCTTCCCTCCGAATCACAACATGTTAGGGGATGTGTGCTCTGTTTGGCTGTGTGCACTTCCCCGATGCTGACAATTTTTTGTTTTTGAGTGACCCAAGGTCAAGTTTCTGGCCAGTTTTGATCACTAATGATTAAAATATCTGCCCCTGTGTCCAATAAGCAAGTACAATTTTTTTTTCCAATTTTTAAGGTAATCATGGGTCTTTGATCAGTGATTAATTGGTTCCAATATTCTC
Organism: Homo sapiens; assembly: GCF_000001405.40. NCBI lineage: Eukaryota > Metazoa > Chordata > Mammalia > Primates > Hominidae > Homo > Homo sapiens. The sequence continues at coordinate 81,035,109 of NC_000011.10, read as the reverse complement.
CTGTGGCTCCCGTGCTCCCAAAACTTCCCTTTCCCCTTTCCTTTCCCTGGGATTTGGGGACCCAGTTTGGTAAAAGCAGTAACTGAGCTATCTTTGATCCAGGGGGAAGAATATGCAGACTTTTACATTCCATCATAACTAACATCTCACCTTGGTAATTACTATCAATTACCCCAGTGAGCACATTAATTCCTTTACTGGATAGGCTTGATCACCCTAGGACTGATCCCACTATTCACAGAGGCAGTGGGCCCCAGATCCCGGTTGCAACCCTTTTAGGGTCTTCTCCTTCTTTTAGCACTAATTCGTTGGGGCAGAGTAAATCCAGTCCTGCACTCCCAGAGGGGGCCGCTCTGAGAAAGAGAACAGTGGGCTTTCCATCTGACTGAGGAAGGCCACTGGCATTGCTGCAGTTTGAAGCAGGGCCTGGGACTGGCCCCTTATGAAGTTTCCTGCCTGATTACTTAGGGGGTTGCCGTGTTTATCAAATTTGGACTTGCATTGATTTGCTTAATGTTTCCCCTTTTTACAGTGGGGACATATAGAAGGGGGTTCTTTTCCTGAGTTACGTTGGTCTCTACTATTGGGGCATTCCCTCTTCATATGACCTGGCTCTTCACATAGAGAACAATTTGGGTTTTTCTCCCTTTTCACTTTAGGAGGCTGTAATGCCATAGCCAATATTTTGGCTTTGTGTGTTTCAGACCCCACCAGTTGACATGCCTGTACAAGTCCCCCAGCTGTGGCTGCCTTTCCTCTGATTGCCAGCATTGCTTGTCAGCAGTCGACATTAACATTTTCATAAGCCACCGGCAACAATAAGATATCAGTGGCTGGGGCATGACTAACTTGTCTCTTAATTGCCTGAGTTAACCGATTGATAAATTCAACAAATGGTTCCTGAGGCCCTTGCTGAACATTTATAAAAGATCCCTGTTGAACTCCACTTTCAGGAATTCAGTCCAAAGCTGTGAGAGCGCAGAAAGACACTTGTGCCTAGGCTTGGGGAACAAAACTTAATTGTTGTTGTACATTGGCATAGGGACCCCTCCCCTGGAGCATAGCAGCTGTTATGTCTTGCCTGGCCACTTGATTCTGTTTGGCTTGTTGTTTGCACAACTCATCATATTCTGCTTTCCAGAGGAGGTATTGGCTTGGCTCTAAAGTTGTTTTGGCTAGCACCGACCAGTCCCATGGGGACATATGGAAGTTGTCTGCTATGGCTTCAATTAATCCTTTCATAAATGGGCTAGCAGCTGTTTTCTCTAATGCTTTTTCTTGTCTCTTTATAAACGTCAAAAGAAATGGGTTCATACAACTGATTGCCTTGTTGATCTTGCATTACCAGGCAGGCCAAGAGCTCCCCTTCTAATGCCACTTGCCTAAGACAGCGTCCCATAGCTGTAGCATATCCCTTGTCCTATTTCCAATTTATTGGAGGAGGGGGCTCAGGCAAAACCTCTGTTTCCTCTTAGGTATTTTTGCCTGGTAATGGCCGGGCCAGGAGGAGGAGGAGGAGGCAGTAAGGTAGGTGACAGTTCCTCCTCCCTTCCCTTTTTAGGCTCTTCTTTGTACAGTGGGACCAAAGCAGCCCTAACTAAGGCCCATAACATTAGAGATGTTACTGGGGCCTGTTGCCCTTGTGCATGATGTTGTTTAAGATTTTTACCCACTTGTTCCCAGAGCTCTACATCTCGCATGTCTTCTTCTGGGAACCATGGGTTATAGAAAATAACTGTTTGCGTGAGGTCTCTTAATTGAGCCTGAGAAATCAAGGCTCTGCTACCTTTAAGCAGCTGTTTCAATACTTTTATATACTGTTGCTGTTGAGCTGATAACTGTTGTCCTATGATGAAACCCTAGCCTGAACAATTCCCTTGAACTTGGAAATCCCAAGCAGGCACCAATGACTTACTGACTGCGCGGTCTCTTCACCTTGGTTTTCGAGGGTTCTGTCACGATCCGTTGCAGCATTCCTCACGTGGGGCACCACCTGCCGCCAAGTCTGTCCTGCAGACTCTGGCCGAGTGACGGATGAATGAAGTATGCTAACACAGGTATTTTGCTTGACAGTTCAGCTAGGGGATTGCACTGCTTAACACCACTGACAAGAGTGCAGCCACCATAGGGCGGCAATGCTCACATTTATTTTAGTACAAATTTAATGAGAAAAGCTTGGAGCAAACACAATTTGTGGGTAATTAACATTGTCAACCTCCAAGTAGAGAGCAGTCCTGCACGCGAATAATCAAAGGTTGGTTTCTGGAGACAAAAGTAAACAGATTTATCTAGATATGTTCCTTTATATTCCCTTGTTATGTACCCTTCGCTCTCAGTCTCTGAATAAGAGAATTTAACTATCTTCAGCTATAATCCTCTCCCAAAGCTTTTGCAAAACCTCCCAGCCTTCCAAGAAGGTTTGCATCTTTCCTATAATTTTTCCCACCACCCTGACCAATCTCCTACAGAGCAGGTGCAACCTGTTGAACTGGGTCCTCCTTCCCCCAACCACCAAAGGACCAAGTCACAAAGTAGAATCTGTACTCCAGATGCAGAAAGCAAAGAATTCTGTAGCTCTGTCCTGTCTCCAACTCACTCATAAGGCCAAGATTCCACACCTGGAGAGGTGATCCAAAAAGCCTAGAGATTATTGCCACTGCCCAGGACTGTTCTCATAAGGCAGCTGTGTCATTTTGAGGGAAGCCACTATTCCCACTCCTAGCTTCTCATCAGTGACTTCAAGATTTTGCCCAGTGGGGAAAGGCAGTCCAAAGAATAGACAGTTCTGAAGCTTGCCCCAAAGGAACTGACTTCATTTGAAACAGTGTGTGGGAAAATTCAAGCCTGGAGGTTTTGGTGATGATTAATTTAAAAATGCTAGTATAAGAGCAAAAGCTTAAACCACATGTCAGCAAGTTTACCAGAACAAATCAGGGAAAGAATGGTGAAAAGTCTTCCTGGGGTCAAACCAAATTGGTCTCAAAAACTATCTCTGCAAAGAGGCACACCTTTAATTGGCTAAAACTGTGGAATGATTATGCCACAGGACAATGTAAAAATCAAAAGAGCAATGCGATAACAATAGGGAAGCCCAACAGCTGGGTACAGTAACAAAAGGGCCAGACATCAGCTTTTGCTATTTGGGATATTTTGTGGCTCATATAAACTTTAGGATTTTTTTTTCTATTCTTATGAAGAATGCTGTTGGTATTTTGACAGGGATTGCACTGAATCTGTAAATTGCTTTGAGTAGTATTATCATTAAACAATGTTAATTATTCCAATCCATGAGGATGCAATATATTTCCATTTTTTGTTACCTGTTCAGTTTGTCTCATCAGAATTTTATAATTTTCTTCATATAGATCTTTCACTTATTTGGTTAGATTGAGTCTTGATATTTTATATTTCTTGCAGCTACTGTGAATGGAATTGCTTTTTTGATTTCTTATTCAGATTGTATGCTGGTTAGCATGTATAGATGCTACTGACTTTTGTGTGAACTGAATTTGTTTATCAGTTCTAACAGTTTTTTTTTTTCTTTGGTGGAGTCTTTAGGTTTCTCTAGGTATGAGATCACCTGTGAGTGAAGCTAATTTGACTTCTTTCCCTAATTTATGCCTTTTATTTCTTTTTCTTGCCTGATTGCTTTAGCCAGAAATTCTCCTATTATGTTGAATAAAAGTGGTGAAAGTAGGCATCCTTTTCTTGTTCCACATCTTAGAAGAAAGGCCTTCAATTTTTCCCTGTTCAGCAGGTTGTTAGCTGTAGTTTTGCCATATATGACCTTTATTATTTTGAAGTATCTTCCTTATTTACTCAGTTCTTTGTTTATAGTATAAGAGAACACTTAACAACTATATGTCAACTTATTAGATAATATATAAAATGGAAAACTTCCTAGAAAAACACAAACTACTGAAACCAAAGGAAGAAAAATAGAAAATCTGAGTTGACTTAAAACAAGTAAATGTATTGAATTTTTAAGCAAAAAATCTCTGATAAAGAAAATCTCAGGCCCAGGTAGCTCCACTGGTGAAATCTATAAAACATTTAAAAATAATTAATAGAAATTCTTCACAAACTCTTCCATAAAACACAAGAAATGGGAACATTTTCCAAGTCATTCTAAGAGACCAGTATAACCCTGATATGAAAACCTAAAAATACTTACACATAAGTATATCAAGATAAGCACAAGATTTATTTACTGAAAATTGTAAAACATTGTTTAAAGAAAGTAGATTGAAATAAATGGAAAGACATTTATTTTCTCCATGTTTGTGAATCAGGAGGTTTAATCTTGTAAGGAGTCAATTTTCCCCAAATTAAGGTATCAACCTAGTCCTTATTCGAATTTTTTTAAAGAAATTGACAAACTGATCCTAAATTTTATATGGAAATTGAAGTGATCAGAAATAGTCAAAAAAATCTTGATAAAGAAGAACAAAGAGGGCACACACTTTCTGAATTCAAAACTTGTTACGATGCTACAGTTATAATGACAGTATGGGCTGGGTATGGTGGGTCATACCTGTAATCACAGCACTTTGGAAGGCTGAGGCAGGATTATGGCTTGAGCCCTAGAGTTGGAGACCAGCCTGGGCAACATAGTGAGAGCTTGCCTCTACAAAACTTTAAAAAAAAAAAAAAAAAAAAACTCACCAGGCATGATGACACATGACTGTAGTCCCAGGTTCTTAGGAAGCTGAGAAGAGAGGATCACTTGAGTCAGGAGGTTGAGGCTGCAGTGAGTCATGATCACACCATTGCACTCTAGCCTGGGTAATAGAGCGAGACTGCCTCAATTAAAAAGAAAAACAACAACAAACCCATACACAATATGATATTGATATAAGGAAAGATACATGGATCAATAGTATAGAACTGGATCCAGAAATAAACCCATGTATCTATGATTCATTGTTCTTAGACAAGGTGCCATGATTATTCAATTGGAAAGTACTTTTTTTTCCAACAAATGATACTGAGACACCTGGGTAACTGTATGCAAAAGAATGAAGTTGAATCCATACCTCATAATCTTTACAAAAATTAATTATTTTCTTTACATGTTTACATTTAAAAAATTATAATCTACAGGAAGTAAATTAGTGGTTGCTTAGGGTTGGCAAGAAGGTAAGCAGGATGAGAGTGACTGTTTATGGGCACGGGGTTTCTTTTAGGGGTAATAAAAGGCTCTAAAATTGATGGTAGTGCCACATTGTGAATATGCAAAAGAAGTATTGAATTGTATACTTTAAATGTGTGAATTGTATGGTGTGTGGGTTATATCTCAATAGACTTAGGGAAATATCACACACACACACACACACACACACACACACACACCCTGAGAGTTTATCCCATGGATGTTGAAGGTTGATGCTATTCAGTACTCAAATAGTCTCTCTTTCTACTCTTTCCTAAAACTATCCTTTTCTTTGAGGCGAAATTATTATTTGGTGCTATTTAATCTTTCCAAGGCAATTTTTAAAGTCCTATTAAAATAATTTGTATATATTTCCTTTCTGTAGATATTCCCAAGGGAAATGTAAGAGTCTGTATATGAACAAATAATTATTTCATTATGCATAAAGAAATAAAATTGCTGTTATTGGCAATAGAATTTAAAACAGCAAATCTTGGTTGGCTTCTTCCCAAAGGTTAGTTTTGGCTATTTTTTTTCCCAGATGAGTTAGTAAGTGATTTTTACTGTCAGAATAATTATACACCTGTCAGCAATGATGATTCTATTTCTTCTAATTGATCTCCAGTGAATTCTTTGCAGTATTACATAGTTCTACTGTTAAGAAAAACACTAATGGTAAAACAAGCAAACTACTGCAAAAGGCAAAGAAAGCAGTGTAACTTGAGAATTTGCTATCTGGGACTATGTGGTCATTAGCTTTGATACAGAAAATTTTCCAGTCATTTTGAGATCCCTTACAACTGAGTCATTAGCTGGTAATAGGTATTTTATTAAAAGCATTATTTTTCCTTCAAGCAGCATCACTTAGAGTGAAAATTATTTGCCTGAAAACCAACTGAAACTTCATAGAACCCCTGCTTTAAATATATTGATTTTTAGTTAATATTTCATTGCATAGAGAAATGCATTGGTACCCAAGAGAATAAAAGCATAACCATAAAAAGGAGCTATCAAGGTGTATAGCAGCAACCCAATGCTTTTCTCTGTATTTCCTGGAATTTAGTCACCCTCCAGTGTTGCAGAATCCTTCATCTTCAAACTTTGCTCAACATGCAGTACTGGGGAAATGGATCAAAGCAATACTCAAACATGGCAAGCAATGTCTTACTTCTCTGTCTTTTACCTGCAATAAGCTTTCTCCTCTTCCCTGACTGATGAACTTCTGTTAATTCTTCAAAACTATGAACACACATCACCATGAAGCTCTTTATAACCCCTCCAAGCCACATGCACACCCTATTAGCAATCAGCATATATTCATCTTTATTGTGGCACATCTCAGACTAAGTGGTATGCTATCGCCAGTGTTATATTTCAAGCTTACCACAGTTCTTGGTCTATGGTATATTACACAAAAGAATTATCTTTCTTTTCCCGAAAGTCAACTTAACGTTTTTTTTCTTCTTTGCCTGTTTCTACTATCCATTCATTCCCACTTTTTATTCTTTATTTTCTTAATGCATCCTTTGCTTCTCTATCTAAATTTTAAGTTTCATGAAAATAAAAGAGCGTATTTTCTACACTATGACATTTCTATGAAGAATCTAAAGGAGAAAAAACAACCCTTCAATTTGTGTAGCATTTTATAGTTTAATTACTGTACTTATATTTGACTTTAAGCATTTATAATAATCCTGTGATGTTATTCCATTTTGCTCATGGGGAAGCAGAGCTCCATCATTTGTCCAGACTTACATTTGGCCAAATGCTTACATGATTCCAGAATTGGTAACTTACAATTAGGTTTTCTTAATCCAGCCCAGGGCCTACCTCTTGTGAACAAAGATTTTTTTTTCAATTACATATTTATTGAAAAGGCCAGCAAGTGTGACCAAATGGTCTTATATCATTACAAATTGTGTGTATTTAAATCAAAACACATTTTGTTCTGATTGTTCAACAAATATTCAATTGTAGAATATTATTTGAACCAGCAAAATACTTGATACAATTTAATTCCAAAATATAAAATAGTTTCTGTCTTTACGTTTTTTAAAGGTTAGGTGCTATACCTACTTCTAGGAGAAATAGGTAAATCACAGTCTAATCTCATAAAAAGACTAATCTTTGATATTTTTCACATAAAAATTATATATATTGACTGTAGAACATTGAGAAAGTACAAAAATATATAAAGCCATTAAGTCAAGACTAAACTGTAAACACTTGGTATATTTTATTTCAGATTTGTTATTAGTACCCATATTATATTGTTAATACAAGCTGTTAAATATTCTCAACAGAACTTTTGGGAGCCTAGGAAAGATGGTCATTCAGAGGTGTATTTTTTAAATTATTAATTACTATCAGTATTACAATTAGAAATCTAGCTCTCATGATGTTTTAAATTCATTTTGCTAACATTTAAGAAATTTATAATATGGCATATTTTGAAAGTTATTTCTAAATTGTCTTTGATAATATTAGTCAGTAACAAAGTTTTTCAAGATCCTTCAATTATTTTACATTGAATTTCTAAATTTAATGTACTTGATTTTCATTTTTAAGTACTTTAATTTTTCAACTTAACCAAAAAAAACTTTGGAAGTACTTAAATATACTGAGTTAAATTCACAAATATGAAGAATCTCAAGTTCTCTTAAATACAAGCTTAGCAATATTTCTACTAAAAATCACAACTAAATTAATTACTCCGTTATATATGTTTTTGTTTTTGTTTTTTGAGACGGAGTTTCATTCTTGTTGCCCAGGCTGGAGTGCAATGGGGCAATCTCAGTTCACTGCACCCTCTGCCTCCCGGGTTCAAGCAGTTCTTCTGCCTCAGCTTCCTGAATAGCTGGGATTACAGGTGCCTGCCACCACGGTTGGGCTAGTTTTTTGTATTTTTTAGTAGAGATTTCCCGACCTAGTGATCTGCCCGCCTCGGCCTCCCAAAGTGCTGGGATTACAGGCATGAGCCAACATTTGTTTTTAAAGAAGGATGTAAACTCACTGAAATGACAATTCAAATTCTTGGTAGAAGTCTAAATCTCTACTTACATCATAGTCTTGAGACTTAGCATATATAAAATCTTTGTAAATGCTAGAATTATTATCTATGTTGTGTTAGTATCATTTAACACAATGCTTGACATATGGCAAATACCTGGTTACATTTATGTCATGTGAATTAATAAATGGATTAATATAATTGGCATAGTCTATTTAATATCTATATTATAACCAAATATGCCGATCATTTAATATATGTGAATTTTTAAAATGAATGTGAGATGATTTTTAGTTTAGTTTTGGTTTTAGCATCTATTTAATTCAGAAAGCAATAAGACTTTGGGTATATTTTTCAAGAATTAATGGTTAGTCAATGAGGACTAATAACTGGGAACTTCTTGTGCACTCAACTCCTTCCTCTGATCATTAATCCTGCAGGGATTCTTTATGCCTTGATCATTATAGTTTAATAAGAGATGCCTATGTTACAGGAGGAAGCATAAAAAATGAAAGATCACCAGACTTCAACATCTGAGACCCAAACATTCACAAGACTCCATATTAATCAACTCTGGAGAGCAACATCTAAACTCAATGATGAGCAAAGAGAGAGGAGTTGATTGATTCCTTGAAGCAATTCTGCTTTGATAACCCCTTGATGTTGGTTTGACTCATGCTCCTGTCATCATGAAGCCCCCTATTGTGTGAACTAATTGAAACCTCACAAAATGGTGTCACTTGAATAGCATTACTCCTGCCTGATTGTAAGCAACTCTAATTCCCAATGTCAAGATCACATTTCACTTCACAGTTATATGGATCACAACATGAGAGGGATTAATTTCTGGTTGATTACCCTCTGCAGCTATAACATGAAATGCAATTCATAGCAAGTGGGCTCTTCGCATGTTTGCTAATCTGCCACATTGGCAATTGTTTTGAGGATCCTCTGAAGAATTCTAATGAGCATTTAAAAGAAAGTATGCTTATGAAATATAAGCCAATGATGCAAATAATGTTAAAAATGGTATTTTGTGAGATTATATATATTTTTGTGTGCTGTGTGTGTGTGTGTGTGTGTGTGTGTGTGTGTGTTTACAGGATTAATTCAATCAATACTCTTGCAGTTTGCTGAACACAATATTCAGTATATAGTGCATTCAGATAAATCTTTTGGGGGATGTAAAAATTTAAGAAATAAAATTGTGACAAGTGATATCCTAGTGTAAGAAATAGGATGTTGAATAGCAAAGTTCCTTAAAGTATCTAAGAACTCCTGTAACGAGAGGTGATGGTATCGCTGGGGCAATGTCTACAACCAAATTTAGAAAGTTAGAACATTCACAGGATATTATCATAAGATAAAAAATTATCATATTTGGATATTTGAAGGAACTTGCAAGATTCCACCAAATATACACACGTAAGGCTTTTATTTAAAGGCAAAGGATATGTATGGCAATAGATAGTGCAATCAGGTATCATTGGTAGAGAAACATTCTTAAAAGCTTAAGCTTTCTGGGGTCCTTATGTATACATGGAAACCTTTTGTCTACAGAGTGAACCACCAAGAACTGTGCTGTGAAATCTTGGCTTCAAAAGAACTCAAAGTAGAAATTTCTAGTGAGTTTTCCCTCCTGTTGTCACAGAGACCAGCCAGGCTATCTTATCTGTTGTACCATATGAAGCCATCAGTAAACAAACTGACCCTACCCCATCCTTGTGGAATTTCTGATTTTAACAAGAACATGATCAATTACACTGCCCTTTATTTGACCAATTGTCAAAACCACACATCCAGACATTTCAGGAGATAAGCATAGTTTACCCATTTCAGTTGTAAAATAACTCTGTTCTTTAAAAATAGTAGCGGTACTGATAATAATAAGTAGCTGTATGACTTATCTACTGCTACTGTAACAAATTGCTACAGTCTTAATTGGTTAAAAAGCAACACAGATTTATAGTTCTGGAGACTAGAGCTCCAAAATTGTTTCTAAATAACATTTGTAAAAGGCCTAATAGAGTTTGTTCTATCTTACATGCTAAACAAATGAGAACTTTTCATATCATTTTTGGGATCTTCAGAGTACGATATTCAACTATTTAAATTAATATTGTATCTTGTGTGTGTCAACAGTTGAATCTTAACAAAAATTAAGATTCAGTTCCCTTTAAGTTGTCCTGTGTGTTTAATTACAGTATTTTAAAAAATCAATCATTATATTTATAGGAACTCATATATGAGACATCTTTATCTCCCCCACCACACGCATGCACACAAAATATATCTTTCCCTTGGTTAATCCACTTCTACACAATACCAACACAGCTGCTTTAACACTGAGTAATTCAGTAAAACAACTAGAATAATTTGGGTCCAGAAAACATTCACAAGCCATATTGACTTAAGGAATTGTGTGAATATTTAAGTAAGACCCCTGAAAAGTTGGACCTTTGTTAAAGGTAGATAGTCTTCTGTTTTTCATTGAATAGGATTTTGTTTTACACAAAAAGCAATGAGTCAACGTTTTAGAAAACCTATAGAAATTCTTACGATTTTATAAATAAGAATCAGAATATATTCCCCTTTAAGAGGTCCACTATTAATTTTCTCTTGTCCTAATTCCTTTATCATCCTGGAAACATTGTAATTAACATACCTATGGATGTATTTCATCAGCTTTTTATGACTCTGACAAATTTGCTTCTAATAAACTATAGCAAGTATTTATCCAACTATCTACCACTATGTTGTGTCAATCACCAGATTCTTTACATGTTTTTAAACTGAAAAGAAATTTTGTTTATCGTTTGTTTCAAAAATTTAAAAGGGCTCAGCAGGCAATTTGCATATGCCACTAGTTTAACTGAGCAAGGATTAGCAAATTAAATCTTAATTAGCGAATTTTTGCATAATTTTAGGGAAATTATATGCTTTGCGCAGATGACAGGTGGGAGGTAAGACATTTAGCTTGCATTGAATTGAAGTCTTCCTTGACTTTATGAATTTTAATAGAAAAATAACATTTAACAGTTAAAATATGTGTCAAACTGAATAGAGCCTATCTGGAGCCACTAAAATAAGAAATTACTTTTTGAAAGAAAACCAGTGATGAGCATTTAAGTATTCCTAATAATGCACATATAAGAAATATTTTGAAATTGAAAAGGAATTTTTTCCAACAGGTTTTATGGTTTATAGTATGTGTTCTGCCTTATAATATAATAATTAATGGAATGTGAATAATAATTCACAGTTTGCACATATAGTTACAATAAAGTCACAGTATTAAATCTGTATATGGGAGAGTAGGTAGTGCTGTGCCACAGTAATTATAATCGTACCAACTCACATGAGCAGGGGACTTGTGTGGCACACAGCAGTCTTCTGATGCTTTGACCTGATGCCCTCAAGACCAGCTTCACCTTTGTGCTGCTTCCTGTTTCTGGACTCTTTTCTCTCTACTCTCCACACTTAATCTTGTTATCAAATTATCCTTTAAAGTTCCAGCTGAACATCTGTATACAGGAGGACTTTACTTATCCTGCTCTATCTTACCAATGATCTAACTCCCTTCTGTGTCTCCATAGTTCCATGTGTATCTGTTTTTTTCAATCATTTCACTAATCACACTATACTACAATTGCTAATTCACTTCACTCTCCTTACAAGACCCTTGAAAGCAAGAACTATATTTGATCCACCTTTGCACCTTTTCAACAGGGATTTGTTGAATAAATTAAGAAAGGAACCTTTACTGTCATATTTTAACCACCTAATTTCAGTTTATTTCAGTCGTTTTATTGAAAATTATTCTCAAAATCATTTTTGAAAGAAAGCTATGAGTTTAATATTTTATTATAAGGACAAGTTTCCGTGACTTAACATTGCATTGTTTATTCTAGGCATACTCATGTAAGTCATGACATGCTTTAATGACTTCTGTATTCCAGTAGACACTAAAGGTCAATGAAAGCAGAAACTTTTCTCTGGTAGCTGCTCTATCCTCAAAGCCAAGAACATAGCCTAGAATGTAGCAGGTAGGTAATCAGTAAATAATTTTTGAATAAATAAAGGAATTATTTAATGAAATATAAAAGCCAAGAAAAGACAGGAAGAAAAACAGGAAGGAAGAAAGGAAGGAAGGAAGGGAGGGAGGGAGGAAGTGAAGCATTACCGAACTTATAAAGGGCAGACCATTGCTTGATTTATTACCTAACAGGATGTTCAAGAATGACAGGCACATGTTATATATATTTTTGTTAAGCAAATAAATGAATGAATAATATCGAATACGATAATATGGATTACAATTTAGTTCAGGCATTTGAAATGATTTTTATGGATGTAGTTTTAAAAATCAGTTTTATGAATTTCTGCTTCAAGTACTTGTAATATTTCATAGTAAGATCTAATACTTATCCTGACTCCCACATTTTCTCTTTAGTTTTTCAATTTCTGCTTATAATTTTATTCTAATAGTTAATTCTGTAAAGGACACTACACGTTTTATTTCTGTAATAGATATTTGTATTGTATATGTTATTCAGACATTTTATTTTTGCTAAATATTTCTTTCTACTGTCATGTTTGGTAAGTTTGCAGTTATTTCCATGTGTTTGCCTCTAACTGTGCATAAATAGTTTTGCCTTTTTTCCCCTTGATGAAAGCAAACAAACCTTATTGCTTCTGGTATGGAATATGAATTTAATTTAAATTAAATAAGGAAATAGCCTTGATATGTTGGTTTTAAAAATGCATGTCAACATTTGGCATTTGGATATTCTATGTAAATGCAAGCTTTTAACAGAATTTCAATTGAACAAATTATAGTTTTGACTGTAATTTATGGGAACTATTTAAATATCTACAACTTATAGCCAGTGTTTCCTAAATTATTCATGAATTACTAATTACCCTCTTTCAGCCACAGGAGATGCAAATACATTTTCACAGAGAAGAAATACTAAAAACTCCAAGGGCCATTTGGTTAAAAATAAATAATGACATTGAATGCTTTACTAACAGAAGGCGGCACCACTTTACATTGACCTGCTAATTTTTGATGAAACTATCCTTGTTTAATGAAAACTGGAAATTTTAAGAAAATAACCTTGGAATGCACAACTGGCCTTACATGAAGGCAGAATATGTGGTCATCTTCGTGAAAAGCAGCTCAGCACAAAAAACTTGAGTTTGATACCAAGCCCATTTGGATTTGATTCCTGCTTCCTGCTTCACCCCTGACCCTGATTAATCCTAGGACCTTGGGCAAGTTGCTTAAATTCTAATTTAATGTTTTTTGTTTTTTGTTTTGAGACATAGTCTCACTCTCTTGCCCAGGCTGGAGTGCAGTGGCACCATCTCGGCTCACTGCAACCTCTGCCTCCTGGGTTCAAGCAATTCTCCTGTCTCAGCCTCCCAACTAGCTGGCTTTACAGGCATCCACCACCACACCTGGCTATTTTTTTTTTTGGACTTTTAGTAGAGATGAGGTTTCATCATGTTGGCCAGGCTGGTCTCCAACTCTTGGCCTCAAGTGATCCTTATCAGCCTCCCAAAGTGCTGGGATTACAGGCATGAGCCAGTGCACCTGGCTTAAATTCTATAAGCCTCAGTTTCTTCATCTGTAAAAGTAATATAATAATACCTACATCAAAATGTTCATAAGTTTAAGGAAATAATGTTGGAACATGGGTTCAGTGCCTGATATGTAATCTATTGTTTTAATGATGATAATTATATTCATGAGGAAGGTCTGATTTGGACTTAGTGAGAAAAAGTCGGATGGCCAAACACAGCATTTCCCCTGATACCATAGTAACTAATATTAGATTTTACATAGTCACAAGAATTAATTGTGACAATGCTAATTTACCTAGAGGAAGAAAGATATAAAATTGCAAAACTATAGCATTTTAGCATGTTACTTCCCTATTAAATATTGAAAATATGGAAAAATACAGGATTTAAAATCAAAAGATCTGGACTTGTGAATGGGCTCTACTTAATAACTTGATAACTTTAAGATTATTAGGTGAACATAGTAAGAAAATATGCCTCATAATGCTTTCATCATTCCAACAAACGTGTATTGAGTCTCTATTACCAAATCTGTGACTCCTTTCCTTATGGCGTATAATATCTGTAAGGGAGATATTAATAAAAAATAATTTACCAAACATAATACTTACAAGGGTAGAAAACAAATTGTAAGCTAAAAATGGGTCAATAAATGGAAAAAATTATTTTATCTTGAATTTAATTATAGATTCTCAGAGGAGGCAACTAATGCTTGATCAAGGACTTAAAACAAATGGAAAGATATGTCACATTTTAAAATATAATGACTAAACATAAGCATAACCACTCTCCCGAAGTTGATTCATAAATGTATTGTGAAACCTTCACCAAATCACTTTATTAATCAATTTACCTATTGCTATATGACCCCCCAAACCAGACTTATTCTAAAATTTATATGAAAAATAATATTAAGAAAAACTCTAGAAAGAAAAAAGCAATAAAGAATTAACCCTACTAGATATTAAGACATATTATATAAAATCTTATTTATCAAAAGAATTGCATATTGGCACAAAAATAGACAGATCAATGGACAAATTTAAGTACAGAAAGAGATACAAATATATGTGGTGAAGATAGCATCTCAAGTCAAATGGAAAAATGAACTTTTAAATAAATGCAGTTGGACAATTGGGTAGCCTTTTAGAAACGGCTAAAGTTGGATCCATCCCTAATATTGAGAACCAAGGAAAATCCAAATGAATGAAAAATTTAAATATGAACACAAAATCTTATAAATATTAGAAGGAAAAAAAAGGCTAATTCCTATATAATTCTGTAGTAAGGAACATTTTTCTGTCTTTTAAAATCAGGAATCCATAAACGAATGATAAGATAAAAATGCCATAGTCAAAGTCAAATAAAAACCAGGGAAAGATATATTACTCAAAGTATAGATTAAGTGGTAATTTTCATTATAGATGAAAAACAGGAAATTATAGAAATTCACAAAAGACAATTGAAAAATATCTAAAACTATAAATAATGTACAGAAAAATATATAAATGGCTTATAATCATGGAAAATGATGCTAAACGTAAATGATTATCCGAAAAATTAAAGTTGAAACCATACTGAGATGACACAACTATGAAAGTCGCAAAAACACAAAAGTTGAGCAATACAATCTATTGATGAGACTGTGGGAAAACTAGTACTCTGGAAACATGGCCAGTAGGAGCACAAAATGGTACAGCATGCAGAGTAATTGTAGATATCTACTAAAAATACGACTGCATTTACCTGTATACATGATAATCCAACCTCTGTGAATTTACCTTAGTGACACACTTGCATGTACATGAAATAACGTACATATAAGTTGTTAATTTCAGCATTTTAAAACTAATCAGTTAAACATACAATGGTCTAATCACTCTAAAATATTTTGTGATAAAAAAGAATAAGAAAGCTCTCCTTGAACTGACATGAAACATTTTCCAGGATTTACTGTTGAACTAAGAGAAAGGAAGAAAGAGGGGAACAATGAGAGAAAGAGGGAGAGGAAGAAGGAAGGAGGGGAGCAAGGAACAAATGCTGTATGTAGTATTGATTTAGTCTATTTTGTGCTACTATATCAGGGTACCACAGACTGGATAATTTATAATGAATGAAACCTTTTTTCTCACAGTTGTGGAGTCTGGGAAGTCCAAGATCAAGGTGCAGGCATCTGGTGAGGGCCTTCTTGCCACATCATTACATGGCAGAAGGGCAGAGGCAAAAAAGGGCCAAACTTACCCTTTTGTAATAACAGTAACCCTACCCATGAGGGTGGAGCCTTCACAACCTATTCACCTCTCAAATGTCCCACTTCTTAATACTGTTACAATGGCAATTAAATATCAACATGAAATTTGAAAGGGGCAAGCACTCAAATCATAGCAGGTATGATGTCTTTTATATAAGAAAAAAATGTGAGAATAAATATTCATATTTACTTCTATCTACCTAAACTTTTTAAATGAAAGGATACACAGGACACTAATTAAAATGGTTATCTGTGGAAGCAAATGGAATGGGGTCAACAGAAATAGGTGTGGGAGTATGTGGTCTCAATATAGCAATTATGCAATCATTTTGTTTGCCCCCAACTCTATTTGTATAACATTTCAAATCTTCCAAAAAGTTGAAATAATAGTAGAATAAACACCTGTATATTTATTATTTAGATTCGCTAGTTGTTAACATTTTGCCACATTTGCTCGTGGGACAGATGGAGGAGCTCTTCAATGTGTCCTTTCCATGTAAAAGAAGTTTGTCCAGAGAGGTCCTCTTTATCACTTCGTTCCTTCCTTAATCCCTTTCTTCAACAAATAATTATTAAGCTGGTAGAATGGGTGAAGAACTGTTCTAAGTGAGATGCCTTTGTAATCACTAGTGAACGCATCTGATCAAAATCTCTGTATTTGCCATGCCTTTTCTTCATAGATATCTTAAGGGGATGAGGCCCATAATCACAGGAAATCTTATTTTTTCTCATGTATTTTAGGTCTTGAATTTTTCCCCTGAGACAACTATCCCAGTTGGAAAAATAATGCGAAAGGGAAATGTGACTATTCTTTGTTGTTGTTGATACCCAATTCTTCAAAGCTACATTAGATGATCCCAATGAATGCAGCCAGCAAGAAATTTAATAATCTTCTGAAATCCATGATGCAAACAGAGCCATTTTCTTCAGGTAGAGAACAGAAGCTTCCTTTGTAGAGAGTTGCTGTGTGGACAAATGCAGCTGCAGTTTCCTGCCATGCTCTTCAGATCTACATAACTCATATGATCATTTAAATGTATGAAGATGACAGCTCTCCTAATAGTACAGTTTATGGAAGGCATCTTTCTAGGTGAAATTCGAGTGGTAAATCTTAATAGGAATTTCTAGATAACTTGCAAGACAACCTTCTAACCCACAGAATAAAGCTGTGTTTCTTGTACTTGCTTGGGTTTTAAAATATCTCCTTGGGAGTTGGTTAATATATTGATTTTTTTTTGGCATCAGCAAACTCTAATTGGGTCTAGGAGTGAGGAGGCACTGTAGTGAGGTTTGCAGAGTCACTAGAGAGTTAGAAGTATGAGATTGCATGATCACTAGAATATAGGAATATATACATGGGATGTAGGAAGAAGGACCCTAGAGAAAGCTAAGTGATTGGCTAACGGGGAGGAAATGCGAAGCTTAACAAAGTTTTCAGGAAAGGATGGCCCTTGCTTTATTACACTTCATGTCAGATATCTCAGTATTACTTAAGATGGTCTTGATCACTGTACACTGATATAGTAGTCAAAAACTTCAAGCTTTATTGGCTGGTGGTGTGTCTTCCTCTTTTTCTCCCTTCATTGCTTATTTCCCTTTTTTTTTCCTCCAGTACTTTTAGAGAACTGTAGTCATCATTATTACCTGTATTGCTCTATCACTATTCAGTTGTCATAATTAGAAGCTGTCACAATTATCAGTAGGTCATAACAGGTGTTGAGGACTCTCCTATAATGAGATCTTGTATCACTGTGATGTAGAGAGACCAAAGCCCAGGCTTTGTGACTTGATTCTATGGATTATCCAGGATTAGAAGGAAGTTCTTGCATACACTTTGGTTACTACAGTTCTAGGAATAGTAGAGCTCTTAGTTCTTTTAGAATTCTCAGAGTAATAGTACTGGTCTCTGGTCTCACTTAGTCATCTTTTTTGTCTAAAATTTTAGGTAGCTAAAGCAGACATTTTTAAATTGCTTTTTTCATTTTAATATTGTGATTTAATTATACAAACTGCCTCCACCTAACATCAGTGTTTGCTTGACCTTGTCAATATTGAATGGAATTTCACTTCGTTTAATCAGGGCATACCATAAGAAATTTTCTATACATATTCTACTGGTGGTGTGTGCAAACTGTGAGTTTGTATAATAGATAAATGAATAAGTGGGTGTCATTAATTTGGGGATTGTGAATAAATCATTAATGAATAAGTATATTTTATAAATTATTTTTAATTTTTATATTTCCAAGCCAGTTCTTTATATAAGTGTAAAAGTTTTTTCTTCTGTTGATTTATAAATTAAAACTATTAACCAATATCTGTATACTTACAATGTATTCATCATCATCTACATAATTGAGGAGACTTACATTTATCTCTATTATAAAAATTGCCACACTGGAGTAATTATTTATTATCTCCAACACCCCTGAGTTCCTGAATGTGTCAAGGGTAGGAATTTGTTGTATTTATCTTCATATTACTGGTGCCTAATTCACTGCCTAGTTTGTAGTAGGTGCTGATTAAATGTCTGGTAAAATGAAAATATTTTGTGTTCATCTTTATGTATCTGAAGAGTTAATAATTTGAAATGATTTCTAAATAATTGTAAATGATTTTCACTTTTGTTCCAGTTATTCCTCTACAGTTGGTTATGTACCCCATATTACATCCTATGCCTCATAAGGCTGTGAGTTCAAATGTGGCCATACTTTCTTTCTATACCCACATTTTCAAGATGTTTTGACATATATCTCACACAGAGCTTCAGATCCCTACAAAGTTTCCTACTGCCAGTTATTTTTGGAAGACTTCAGTAGGTTTCTCATCAGATCCTGCTAGATGTAATCTTTTTATTCTAAACTTCCGGTAGGCATTTGCTACTTTCATTCTTTCCCTTTTTTATTATGGAGGGTGGGTCCCAGGATACATTCCATTCTCTTTGTACTTATTTCTAAGTATATAGACAAACATAGTATATAGATAGATAGATAAATACCTACATAATACATACATACAACATGCATACACACATACTTGCATACATACATAAAGATTGAGTGACCGTCTGCATACTGCTGAGTTAAAACTTTAAGTTCTCAGTGCCCTGAGTCTGCTTCCACTTGAGCAGGGCTCGAATTTCATTCATCTGGCTGGGAAGAGCATCTAGATGTTATGTTTTGCACTCCATTCTTTCTCTTCCAAGTCTCTTTCAGGTGCTAGGCCTCAAACACCCTCTTCTTACAGGTTTCCTCTTTCTGGGACACCCCTACCATGTAGGACAACTTTTGCCAATAATTACCTATGGATTGGAGGCAGGTCTAGGCTGTGACTTAAGTTTGGTAGAACCCACATCTTTGTTTTCATTGATTCAATTCACTCAACAATTAGAATGATGTATTGGGTGTCTACTCTATGCTGGACACGGGGATACTCTACTAAGCAAAATGTTAAAAAACACTGTGTCTCACAGAGCTTGCATTCTAGTGAAGAGAGGCAGATATTAGGCATAGGTATTTACAGATAACAACTAATAGGGTAGAAGAATATGAGACACATCAAATGCCAATAAGGGCTTTTGGATAAAAATAAATTGGAAAATGGGAATATAGCATGTGAGAGTGAGAGTAACTGGGGACATTATCTTTTCTATGATGACATTTGAGTGAAGACCTAAGGAGGTGAGGATGAGAGCTATGAGGATATCTGAATGGAGAGCCAACCAGAGACACAGGGGCGAAGGCCTGAATGTATTCAGACTAACCTAACCAGATGTGGTTCATGGTTAATCAGATTATTTGATGCTCTGGAGCAGCCACTTCTCAGTTTTAGTTGGACATAGATCTTCATTTCTAAAATCCTAGTGTCAAAGACCCTCAGCAAAATTATGAAAGCTTTCAACACGCTAAGTAATACTTAACTCGATCTTTAACTAGTAGGATTCGTTTTCATGTGACTAAAGTTGAAATAAATATTAATATGTAGTAAAGAGAGGTCTCAGTTCAAATTATACAGTCAAAATCTTCCACATATACTTAGATGTAGAATAAGAATAACAAACGGGAAATAAATTTTAGACAAAGTTTATATTCTCATTTTCTTTGAAAACATGTATAAATAGCAAAAGATAAATAATTTTTAATAATATGTGATAATTCTTAATAATATGTGATAATTCTTTTAAAAACAAGTCATAAAGAATGGAAGTATGGCACATGCAAAAAAAATATGATATCATTTTATTGAACTCTCAAAACAGCATTAAGGTTCTTAATGTTAAAGGCATATGCCTATTTTATATCAGACCACAGAGTATTACCATATCACCTTAACAAAGCATTTACATTATCTAATTCTCAGCTCGGGATCAGTAGCATGGGTGAGGGCAGGAGGGTAATATCACCAAATTCACTGGTAGTAGAAAGAATTTAAGAGCATGATGACATAATGGATACTATAGCACTTTTAAAAATGTAAAGGCTGATACATGAACATTTCTTCCCTTATCCAAGGTTCAAAGATGTTAAAGAAATTACCTTGATATGCATTACAAAACTTTAAGTGGCATTTTGGAAGTAGTAAGGTAATTTTCCATTGTTTATTATAATTACCTGGATAGATCAAACTCCAAAATGGATTACATGTCTGAATTATCTACCTTAAATTTCCATAGTTTTGTTATTGTGCCATAATTGACACAATCATTCTAGGTAGTCTGTAGAAATGCATTTCTTAATTTTATGTTTTTATTTTCTTGAGAAAAACATTAATGCTATTTATTCCTGTTATTTTAGTCATTTTCACAATACATATTTTCAGTACAAACAAAATAAAATCTTTAAACTTCACAGTCTAACCGGAGAGGTGGACACCAACAGTTCAAAAAATATAACTTATGTGCAAGGACTTTAAAATCTCCTTAGGAAGATTAAATGTATATATAAACTAGGCTTCCATTTTGATGAAAGATAGCATGTAAACTGATGCTTCTCAGATTGCCAGTTTGCCTCTTAAACACTTCTAAAACCTGTGCTGTCATCTCAAGCCCCACCCTCTTATTGCTATAAGTGTTTTTACCTACTTCATCAGAGCAGCCTCTGCATACTCTTCCCATCTCTGCTCCTTCAAGTTCCAACCGTCCCTCTGTGAGCATGTCCCTGAAATCCCAGTGCCCCGGAAGGACAGCACTGAAACACAGTGGCTAAGGGAGCTGTAGCCTGAGGTAGGTATGCCAGGTCAACCTCAACCAGAAGCCAAGCTCCCAGGACATGAAGAAGGCCAGCCATGCAAACACTTTCTCTAGGCTAAATTGGTTTAGAATCAAGACTTCAAATGAGAAAAAAACTTTAAAAAATGCAAATATAATCACAATATGCCTCTAGGTAATATACATTAATGTTTTCACATAACAAACAAGATTAAGAGTAAAATTCTTATTCCAGTCTTTATTTCCTGCCACCCTAATATGTTTATTCAGCATTAGCCATTCTCACACAGCTTCCATTCTCTAGACACATATTTTGTATATCAGCAAACAACATATTACTCAGCAAAATTAACAATTAAATAAATAAATAATGAAAAACAAAACAAAACCTCTCTGTGACATGAGACATAGTAAATCCTACTATTGGAAAGTGTTTATTTAAAGGCCTCTACTGCTTTAAATATTTTAAACATTTTTTTGATGGAAAGTTCTCCAGATTATTTTATTTACATAAACTCCAATAAACTTCAAGTGAATTTATTTACATATGTGGACATTTGCATGAATACACATATGTAGACATTTATACCCAGTTTTATAACTTATAACACATTCTACTACACAGATTTTTTAAATTAAGGTAGTACAGGATAATAAAAAAATTGTTTTAAATGACAAAATGTGCCGATACCACAATCTTGGTGTAACCCATATTGCCTTTTAGATTCTGTGGCATCAGTTGTAATGTCTTTTTATTCATGCTTTATTTTATTTGAGTTTTTTCTTGGTTAGTTTAATTGTCAATTTTGTTTATCTTTTCAAAAAATCAACTTTTTATTTTATTGCTTTTGTAATTTTTTAGTCACAATTTTATTGCTGTGTTTTTATAATTTTATTTATTTGACTCATTTGGGGTTTGGTTTGTTCTTGATTTTCTCGTTCTTTCAGATCACCATTAGATTGTTTATCTGAAATTTTTCTACTTTTTGATGTAGGTATTTATATTTATAAACTTCCCTCAATACTGCTTTTGCTGTTTTGATATTATATATTGCATTTCCATGTTTATTTGTTTTGAGAAATTTTTAAATTTTCATAATTTCTTTATTGACACATTGGTTGTTAGGGAACATGTTTAAATTTTGAGTTTTCATATAGTTTCAAAAGCTTTATTTGTTACGATTTCTAGTTTTCTTCCATTTGGTTCAGAAAATATATACATATATAATTGGGGCATGTTTTTAAATCCATTCATCTGGTCTATATCTTTTAAGTGGAAATTTTAATCTGTTTATATTCAAGGTTATTATTGATAAGTGAGGACTTAGTCCTGTCATTTTGTTAGTTGATTTTTGGTTGTTTTGTATATTTGCTTCTGTCTTCATCTCTTATCATTTATCATTGCTAATTGGTAGTTTCCTACAGTAATATGGATTAATTATTTTCTTTATCTCCTTCATGTATCTGCTATGCCAGATACTTTTGCATGTTGTCATGATGGTCATTATCATCTTTTTACTTCCAGATATTGGATTCCCTTGAGCATTTCTTATAATACTGGCCTAGTGGTGACAAATTCCTCCAGTTTCTGCTTATCTGAGAAATACTTTATTTTTCCCTCATTTCAAAATAATAGCTTTACTGGGTATAGTCTTTCTGCTTGACTTTTTTTTTTTTCCTTTCACTAACTTGAATATTCCTGCATTGATGTCTGTGTATCTGGTGAAACAATCACCTCTTTCAACTTTCTAGAGTAGCTTTTGTAGAGAAAGAACTTTACCTTCATTTAAGTATTAGTGTACTGGTTGGGAAGGATGTGGTAACCCTGTTTCTGGGTGAATGCAATGGTGGAGTTTCTGAGTTTTAGATTCTTATTTTCCAAGCTGTATTTGATGCATATTCCATATAGTTGTAATCATAATTTATACTTGTTGTATATTCTGACTTTCTTAATATCACAGCTATTTTTATAGTGACAGACAATTTATGATCAATATTTTAATGTGTGTATCATATTCGATAAAGTAGATGTAGTATAATTTACTTATCTATTGCCATATTGTTAAGCATTGAGGTAACATTAATTTAATGTTAAACATAACATATAAGCATATATGTCTATTCATATGTATACATTTACATATGTTTTCATATTTAAATTTCCTGGTCTTTATTAAATTGTTCAAATAACTTTATGGCTTACAATAAAGACAAATTACTTCTCTCAAATAATGTGCAATGTGATATACCACCAGCAATATGTGAAACTTTTAGTATCCTTCAACCCTGGGTAATGCTTAAATTAATACTTGTATTTTTAAACATAAATTATTTAATTTAATAGGATGAACACCTGATTTCTGAAGCAAAGGGTATGGTACATAACATTTTCATAATCACCTTCCTCATCATTTGGAAGTTCTAATATTATAGCAACCTATAATACAGCAATACCTTTCAAAGAAATGTATAAATGTTTGACATTAAATGCTCACCTGTATTACATGTTTAGCGTTTTTATCAATTTTGTGTAGTTATTGTCTTTCCCCAATTATCTATTCTTACTTTTATACAGCTGCCAGCTTTATTTTCACCTTCTATTTCCCAATGACTCATAAAATAAATCACATCCCTAGGTTCATTAGAATATCCAACATGCAAAATGCTTATCAACAATATGCAAGACATATCATCTTTCTATATGCCAGCCGTGGAGTCAACTATATGCTAGTCTTTCTTTGATTTTTCAAATTTAGTCTTTATAGAAGTAAATTTTTCTTATACCTATTTTAAAAACAGTTGCTGTGAGAATAAATAGTATTATATGTAGGAAGGGTGAAGTATACAATATGAGATTTAATTAATTATAAGATTTATTACATATCTTATACACATTTTTTCTCATCTTTTACTTTTTTTTCCTCCCTACCTCCCATCTTTCCTTACTTCCCCTTTCTTCCCTTTATTTCTTACTTCTTTCCTTGATATTTCAAATTGCCTGGTTGTTAGCTGGCCCGAAATAGATGCACTTTCTAGGGAATTAATTACATGGATGTAAGTTAATGTTTCATCTGCTTTCCAATTGACCAACACTGTGAGCAATCTAAGGTCCACAGCTCTGATTTCTGACTCACAGAAAATGTTCCATCATTCTTTAAAAAACTTTGTCCCAGAATTTTGTATTTATTATCTTCTTTTCTTGGTTTAGTTCGTTTAGAATAAACCGTATTTCTTATTATGAAAATAATATTTATTGTAAAAAATAGCAAAATAAAGAAAAGCTGAAATAATTATATTTCATAACCTTATTTGAATTAACACCTAAAAACCCACTTTTAATACTTGGTCTTTCCAGAAATTTTACCCATTTTTTTTAAATGGGATGATCCCTCAGATAGCTTTCTAAAGATTTCCCTGAAGCAAATATTCACTGATGATGCTAAAATACTCCAGTTTCTTTAAAAAGTAGTACCTATATATGTTTGAATTTCCTAATGACATTGTGATTTGGCTAGCCAATTATAGCAGTGGGTGTATGTGCATTTGGGCATGTGCATGTGGATGTGGATGTGCATGGTTTTCTCTGAACTGATAGCACCAAACAGGTTTGGAGAAATGCCTGTGCAGTTATTCTTTGCTACCCTAACCCACTGTAGATGTTATGTTGAGTAATCCAGCCACTTCTTTTCTCCTTATCCACTTTATATTTCTGGACACCAAGCTTTTCAAATGTTTAAAAATGATTTGAAGCCTGATTCTTAAGCATGTTAATTTATAAAGTCTCTAAGCTGAGACAAATATTTTAGTATGTCTCAGTACATAGCTTTCTCATTTTCCTTTCAGGTCAGTAGATAAATCCTTCTCTTAATATTTCATAAATGCCAGGAGTTAGTTAACAGTCCTGAAATACTATTAAATTAATCTCTTTTGTTCCTGACACAGCCTTTATTTTATTCTTTACCCCAGAAGATGTCACATTTGTAGATCATATTTATATTTTATCTGAAATACTGTGAGTGGTAGTTTCTTAAAAAAATACAGTGTTCTGTAGTGAAGTCTTAACAGTCACTATGGGAAATTTTGCAACCTTCAGAAAGCCTATTCTTTCAAAACTCAGAAAATTCTTACCTAATAAATAGAGACCAGTGCTAGAAAGTAGCTAGTAGGTTAAACCATGTACTTCACTGATATTTAGGTGTACATTTTTTTTTCACATTGGAGATTAGTATTCTGATCTCCTCCCTAAATAGGCAACTTACAGAAGCAAAACAACTATTGAAATTTTTTAAATGTATGAATTCTGAATGATATATCAAGTCATCTAATTTTTTATGAGGTCAAATTGTTGTTATTTATTTATTTTTTCCTTTGAATTCAATCATTGGGTTGCCTGGCATCTTAGAAACCTAGCTATGGCTTTGAGAATTTCCCCTCTTCCTCGTCTTCTTCTTTTCCACATGTTTTACCATGCCTTGGTTTTTCTTTCCATACTTTTTTTTTTTTTTGAAACGGAGTCTCCGTCTGTCGCCCAGGCTGGAGTGCAGTGGCTCGATCACTGCTCACTGCAACCACTGCCTCCCGGACTTAAGCGATTCTCCTGCCTCAGCCTTCGGAGTAGCTGGAACTACAGGCACCTGCCACCACGCCTGGCTAATTTTTTCTGTATTTTTAGTAGAGACGGGGTTTCACCGTGTTAGCCAGTATGGTCTCAATCTCCTGGCCTCGTAATCCGCCCGCCTCGGCCTCCCAGAGTGCTCTGATTACAGGCGTGGGCCACCGCGCCCAGCCTCTTTCTATAGTTTTCTAAAGCATAGTACAAGGGACCCTTCTCTTAATATTAGAATTACTATTACGGCAATCAAGCTGACATAACCAAATTTGTGTAAAACCATTGAAGTAAAATGGGCCACGTCATTATTATTATTGTTATTGTTATTTTGTGTACTCTATGACCACATTTTTTATTCAGATTCCATGACTATATTTCTATAATGGAAGCACCTAAGGAAAATGACTCCTAGTTTCTGCTGTATTGCTTTTGCTGCGGTGGAATGAGTTCTATCAGACAACTGGATGCATTTGAAAATCTTCATATTTTCACCCTGGAAAAGTCCTATTAGCTAAACTTGCTCCTGTTTAGAAATATTGACCAAAAAACATAGTCCATCTTGTAAAGGTATACTAGACATTTACTAAACAAGTAAACTAACTTCAAGTATAGTAAGTTTATTAATTCCAAAATCTAGAAATGCATGCCATAAAGTAAGTTTTTTGTTTCTATTGTTTGAAGGCCAATTTTCAGCCATAATATTAAGCTTCATACTTCTGGAAGAGTAAACCAAGCAGAACAGCAAGTTAGAATCTGGACGTAATATAACTATGGAGGATTAAAGTGGGGGCTGTGGGTAAAAATTTCTGAAGCCCTTTCTCAAATTAGCGGATTAAAGCAATTGTGACGTTCCCAGCGTATCACAAGTGGCCAATAAATATTGATTTCTTCGTTTTCCTTCTGTTTCCCATCATTTAAAATGCTTTCCATTTCTCCACCATTAAAAAATAGAAGTAATGTGAATGTTTGATGGTGTGTTAGTAAATCATTCTTAATTTTTTTTTTACAGTTGGGGATCTCACTATATTGCCTAGGCTAGATGAAAACTCCCAGGCTCAAGTAATCCTTCTGCCTCTACCTCCTGAGTAGCTGGGACTATAGGTGCATGCTACTGTGCCCAGCTATATCCTTAATTTTGAAAGTTTACTAAAAAATGCTTATGTACTCTCAGGGTGAAGACAAAGACAATGTACTCCACCTTTTTTTTTTTTGTTTTTTACATTTTATTATGAACAGCTCAGTGTTATCCTTAATAGATATTTGTTGATTGAAAATCTGATATAAAGTCAGTTGAAGGAGGTCTGAAAATATAAAGATTCTATAAAAGTACACAATATAGCAGTTTGCTAATATTCGGATGAAAAGTCTATCAAAAAGTCTATTATAGACTAATAAGTCTATCAAAACTGCTTTGGACTGTTCATTGTTGCACCACCATTGTGCCATGTACTCTCAATCCTCTCTTAAAAATTACTTCTGAAGACTGGTGTGGATTAATGCATTAAATGCAGTATAAAATCAGATAATGTGGGAGAAGAAATCTTGAATGACTTCTTTTAAATTAATATGTTTAAAAAACAACTGAAAAGATAATATTCTTCACGTTAATTGTCCCTGATACCCATTAATAATAGGTGCCTACATTATTGCAATACACATTCATTAACTATTAGGATTTTACAGTAGTTACATATCAAAACTGAATCTTACTGTGGCAATAAATTAAAATTAAATGAATATTAAATCTACACCTGGCTTTATTAAACCTAAAATTGATTACTTTGCTTTTGTCATAAAAAGTGACTTCTCTAAAAAATGTGATATATTTTTAAAAAGTACCAAACCAAGTATTATGATTCTTGGGTTTTAGTCTCAGCTGCACCACTCACTGACTGAGTGGCTTTAAACACGTCACTTGCCTGGCTAGACCTCCAACTGCTGAATTTTGAAAGAGAAATTTGATGTAGATTAATTTATATAATTATTTTTAACTTGAAACTTCTGTAATATATAAACGTACCCATGATTTTAAATTTTAGACACAAGGTGGCACTATTAGTAGTGATTCTAATTTGTTCCACAGATAAAACTAGGGGAATTTCAAGATCTGTGTATCCAAAGAATAAATCTAAATATATGAAGACACTGTATCTCACACACACACACACACACACACACACACACACAGTCTTGGTTATTTTTAACATCTGGATGAATGCTCAACAATTCAGTCAACCAAATGTTTGCTTGACATCAAGATGATTGATTTTTTAAAATGTTCACGAGAATATTTCAGTGTTAAGGTACACAATCAAGAAATATTTGCAAAAATATATGCAAGATAAAGATTGATACTGGTGTGATTTCAACATAAACAGGAACTCCTAAACAAGATCTATCAATTTTATAGCATGTAAGGAAAGGTATTGAAATGTGAACAAATTGCATAACTCAGTTTGCTATTAAATTAAAAAGAATGCATGTTGGTATGCAGACAATTTTCAAATGACACTAAAGGCAAAATTTGTTTTAAACTGGAAAGGTGTAGATGATGCAAAGAATTTAAATTATAATCTCTAGAACATTTTTGTTGAAATTTTCCAACATCTTGCTACCACTTCCTAAAACACTCTCCACACATACTGAAGACCATGAACTGTTTTGTGGCTAAATCAACAATATTACTTAATATAATATTACTTTTATAATAAACATATTTTTCCTAAAATCTGACTTCTTCCCGTTTGTTATGAAGATTCTCAAATTAAATCTTTCATGATCCAATTCAAATACAATTTTTCTCCTTTAGTGTTTTTCCTGATACTGCAGGAAAGTCTCTCCTAAATCATTTATAAAATTCTTGTACTTAAAAATGTTGTAGATCTTAGCAGTCCCCTAGACCATATTTTTTATCTTAGTGGTAATAAAACTGTGCTCCAGTGAGGAAGTATGATGGGAAGAAGCTCCACCTCTGATCAGCGATGGGGGAAGAAATCCAGTCCCAGTGTTCTTTCTACCATGTGCTATTTGTATGTTTCAGATGATAGACGGTGCTTTCCAACGGGAGTACGAATCTAATCTACCTGGCTAAACTGTAAATTCCTTCTAGTAAAGAGTTTATGTCTTTTCTCTCATACTGTCTAGCATAGTATTTGGTAATGTGGAGGTGCTTAGGGCATACATTTGAATAAACAAATGATTAACTCTAATGAACAATTTTAATAAAATTAATACTCACTTCTTCCATATTTGTGCCCACTGCAGTACTTCACTTCAGATAATTACATCTGATAATATTGTTTTACACCTCTACAGATCTATCTGTGGTGAAAAGTGATCATTTTTAAGTAGGTTTTATTGTAGGTTACTCTGAAATGGGTAATGATTACAAGCTCTTTGTGATTGCTCAGTGGTTATGACTCACCAGACCCCAGTTTAAATTCTTGCAACTGAATGAGTAATAAAGCTATGACTTACACCATCGTTGGTTCAAAAGACATTGGCTGAAAATATACTGTTCCCTGGAAAGGACTCTATCCTATGTTAGTTATGTGACTTTAGTAAGTGAGTCAATCTCCTTCAGCTTGTCTCCTCCTCAGTAGCCATGATGATGATAATTACTGCTCAGAGTTATTAATATTTTACTGACTAAATAATATGCTATGTACACAGTCCTAGGAACATAGAAATCTGGCACGTATGTTATGTAGATGATGTTGAAATCTTTTTCTTAGAACGAAGAAGATACAGAGGATGAATCAGTATATAACAGTAACAAAGGTAAAGTCCCTTTACCTCATTTCCCTCTACCAATTTTTGGTCAATTGTCAGTACTGAGCAAATACTTATGCAATGGCATCACCAGTCTTGGAAAACAATTACAAGGGATGTATAAATTGTAATAATCTACATAATTCTAGGTCTTTTTCTAATCTGTGAATGTGGAACCTTTGCAAATCCCACTCATATTTTACCCAAGTGTTCGTGTGGTTCTAGCCAGAAGTTTTAGATATGCTTACATCAACTTTCTGATGTTCTCCTCAGTCTCCCTTTTTGGTGGTCTTCCACTTCCGAGGCCACTTGGCAGGGGAGTGATTCCCACATCCCCATGCTAACCTCCCACTGCCCTTGGCTACCAGTGTTCAATTTGATAGGGCACGTGTCCATGCTGAGGATTCAGCCTATGATGAAGCCAACACTGTTCCTCACTGCTTCTTCAAGGACAAGCACAGTGCTTAGCATGAAACAGGTTCTTAAAAATATTTACATATAGAATAGATGAGAGGGACCAAAGCCTTTCCTAGAAGCTTTAATATATTGGAGCTACACTGTGTTCAGCAGAAAAAGAAAAAGTGTGGCCCTCCTTTTCCTTCACTGTCCTACTTTTCATCTGGGTTTCAAAAGTTGGATGGCATATGCTACCGTGTCAGGAGGTTTCTTTGTAAAACAGCTCCTTCAGCTTCTTCAGGCCCTTGTTCAAAAAAGCTGATGGCAAGTGTGCTATTCCTTTCAGTGGCTTTTAGGCCAATGTCTGAGGAAAATGCTGCCATTCTTTTCTTTCACTTTCCATTCTAGAACTGGTGCTTTCTCCCAGCCCAACTCTACTAATATTCTCCATATGTAGAGGAAAAGAGAGAATTTACTTACACAGCTCGTACAAGTTTAGTAGATATGCCCAGATATATTTAATTTCCTAACTAGATTCAAATCTTCTCTGCTGCTGCAAATAGATATTCAAAAAGCAAATCAAAATTAAAAATATAAACTATTTAGAAATTAAAGAAATGCAAGTATGTTTTTTAAAATTAAGAGATGCCGCTGTAACTGTACTCAGAGTAAAATATATAATTTTATGTACCTTAAAAATTATTACAAATAAGTCAACTAATTCAACTTTAGAAACTAGAAAACAAAACAAAAAATTATGATAGAAAAAAGCTTAATAAAGTTAAAAATTAATATTTTGTAAAACTAAAATTAAAGTTAAGAATGAAAAAGATAAAATGTATTTCTGTAAAAACATGAAAATAAAAAAAATAACCTAGCAGGACTGACACAGAAAATTTTTAACGTTAAAAAAATAGGAATGAAAAGTATAAGGTATAATTATAGATACAAGTGAGATTAAACAAAATAATGAGATTTTGTTTGCATAAATATAGAAATAAATTAGAAATACATAAAATGGATTCTTTTCTAGCAAGACATAAATTATCGAAGGAGTCCCAATTACACAAAAATAATTTTCAATAATATTACATGAAAAATACAGTGATGTGAAAGTATGGAAGGCAGTTTTTTAACTTTGAAGTAGTGAAACCAGTTTTAGCGTGACAAAACATAGTTGTCATAAGTAAAATAGTAACAAATTTAACTGCGTATCTATTAACAAGCAAATTTAAATGTAAAACACTTCTTATGTGGCTCAGCTCTATGCATAAAGTTAAAAAACAATGACATGCTGAAAGGAAAATGTAGCATACAGAACAGACATAGGGCTTTATGACACTTTTTTTTCTACAAATAAAATTTTAGGAAAGATAAACAGTCAAACAGAAAAATAGGCAACATATGAACGAGCAATTCAGGAAAAAAATTGAAATTTACATGACGTGAAAAGATGCTTAAACTTACTTCACACCTCAGGGAAATACAAAATTCAATAGTAACGAAACATGCATTTTTTCCTCACAAAACTTACAATAAGTTTTCAGTGTTGATAGATAATATCTATATTGACAGGGATTTGGGAAATGGGCATTCTCAGATGGTGTTAGTGAAAGTATAGATTGGTCAAAATATTCTGGAGAGCAATTTGGAGCCTCAGTTAAAAATTAAAGTACCAATGCTCATTTTCAGAAATCTACCACAGTAAAATGTTTGGATTAAAAGTATATGTGGGTATGAGAATCATTGCAGCATTGTGGTAGTGTTAGAATCAGTGAGGAACTTAAATGCCAGTCAATGGACAAATAGTTAAATACTGTGTGTGGTGTTCATCCAGTGGAAGAGTACCACGGTCATTACAAACTATGGAGTACATGTAGGTTAACTAAAGTCAAAAGATACATAATGCATTTTGTTGGGAAAAAATCAAGCTGGAAATATATGTATAAGATAAAATTTCATTTAAAAGTATGTACAATCATATATGAAATTATGTATCTCTTCACAGCACGTATAGGTTAATATATCCTTGAATAATGAAAGCTTCAAATTTATGTATCAAACAGTTAATGAACATTTCTGAAAGTTGTGATTGGAAGGAGAGATAAAGGGAAGGGAGAGTTTCACTTTTGACTTTATATACCTCAAAAAAAAAAAAAATGACAGATAACCAGTCATTTGAAATTTTTTTTCTCCAGTTTTCAAAAAGAAATATTTTAAAAAGTAAGTCATGGTGCTTACATGTCCTAACAGAGAGACGAGACCCAAGCTGTGAGCGTCAGTTAGGGGAGGTACAATGAATGCAGTTGGTTCAAGGGAGAAGTAAGTCTTCAAGTAGAACTTTGGATATGTTAACTGTTCTGAGGAAAAATAAGTATAGTTCTTTAAGTATTATCCTAGTTGACTTTAGACTTCATCTGTGGGATGTAGCACATTTCTTTTCGGCTTGATTTCTATACTGTCTAATTCACATCGGTGTCCTTCCCATTTATAAACATGTTGCCTTTGCATGACACATGATGGAGATATTGTCTTATGCAATGTCTTTCAAAGCAAGAGTCTTCACACGTTCCTAGATTTTATAATCAGTTTAGTGATTCTTGATCAGCATGTGTTAGAAAATAAAATTGGTATGGACATAATAGAATGGATGGATGGATATTCGAATGGAATAGAATAGAGTGTACTATGTATAGTAAGATACTCTATTATTTCATGAAACTTTGGCTTTAGGTATGTGGTTGTGTGTACTAGGCTGCAATGTAAAATTTATTCCTATTATGAGTCAGTGATAAAATGTTTGGAAGCCATTGGTCTCAATCCAGATCTAGAAATAAGTCATAATATAATCTTGTGGAAGCCTCTAAAGAAAATGTGATCTGTAAATTTGTCCGAGAGGGGTCCAAAGCAGGACTTCATGCTGGCAAATAGCAATTTTCATTATTTGGATTTCCATCATTATAGCAAAGTGCTTTCAGATATTGAAGACTGTTTTTTCTTTCTAACTTGTGATGACTACTTTAAAACTGTATACATTTTTAAAGTGTTTATATTTTAATGTTGTACCTTTCAAAATAATGTACACGGTGACATATTAGATAGTCCTCGAAACCATGGAAAAAACATTGTTACAGTAAAACTAGCATGGTCATATTATGAAAGAATGCAAAAGTCATATGCATTTGTAAATGTAAGATACAAGACTTCAAAGATTTTTCTCCCCTGCAGTGGTCACTGCAGATTCTGCCCCTGAAATCCCAGAGGAGCCTATTCACTCTCATGTCCCAGGGAGAACTTCAGTGGAGAAGCATTGCTGTACACCATTGTAAGCCAGAACCATAATTAGCAAGTAACACCTTTGCAGAAATTCATTGACACCTAAATGAGAGTAGAAAGAAGTCTTTGAATAGAAAATAGGGAGGTAATAACTTCTGGCTATACTGTGCAATTTTGTTTTCAAGGAACAGAGTTCAATCAAATCACCTCAAGTACTGGGGATTTATAATAGAGATAAACACAGAAATAAGAACGACAAGGAGAAGAATGAAAACAGGAATGTTGTGGGTACTCAAAGTAGCTCCATAGCTTGAAATGGAGCCTCCATGAAACTTAAGATGTAATTTTGGAACAAAGGAAGCAAATAGTCAGGGTATTTGTTACCATTGTGCTTCTCTGTTTCTGCAGGCTCCCATAAAACTATTTGGTCTTCTGGTTGTATTATTTTTGGTTTTTGCATGGTTCTGTATTCTAAATATAATGTCTCTTATAGTGTCTACTATTTCATTGTCTCTACTGCCTGCTAATTGCAAAATATGACTGACTGTCTGCCTCTTCAGTTCATATTTTGAGAGTGCATTTTGAGTGGCCTGGCTACTAAAGGTGCTTTCTGCCACCAGCTGAGTGTGATGTTTAGAAGTGCAGATTCTGGCACCCCATTGCCTGGTCCACAGCCCAACTCTACCTACAGAGTACTAGGTATGTGACCCTGGCAACTTATGTAAAGTTCTGTGCTCCAGTTTCCTCATCTATAAAATGATATCAATCTCATAGGATTGTTGAAGAGTTGATATATGTTAAGTGCCTAGAAAAATATCTGTGACTCATAGTGGGCCCTAAATAAATGTTAGGTAGTAAAGTAAAACTTTTGTTGCAGTCTTTCTCAGGTTACTAGATAACCACAATGTGCAGAACGTTACTTCCTAATTCATATGAATGAGTATCTACTGTGTGCCAAGAATGGTGATAAAGCTCTCATACTGATAGGGGAATATAAAATAAAAGCAAGTAAAATCATATATGAATGAAGTAATTTGAGGGAGTGATAAGCACAGTGAAGGAAAGAAGGAGGAAGATTGGTGCTTTAGTGATTAGAGTGGCAGGATGTAATTAAGGATAAAACATCTGAGTTGAGACCTAAATAACAGGAGAAACTTGTTATCAGATTGTTGGCATGGAAGGCCAACATTTTAAGTAGAAGAAATACAGTCATGTTTTGCTGAATGATGGGGATATGTTCTGAGAAATGCATTATTAAACAATTTCCTCATTGTGCAAACATCATAGAGTGTACTTACACAAACCTTGATGGCATGGCCTACTACACCTAGGCTATAAGGTATGGCCTGTTGCTCCTAAGCCAAAGCCTGTAGAGCATGTTACTGTAGTGAATACTGTAGGCAAGTGTAACACAATGGTAGGTATTGTGTATCTAAACATATCCAAATAAAGAAATGGTATAGTAAAAATGGGGTCTAAAAGATTTTTTAAAATGGCATATCTGTATAAGTCACTTACCACAATGGAGCTTGCAGGACTAGAAGTTGCTCTAGGTGAGTCAGTGAGTGGGAAGTGAATGTGAAGTCCTAGAACATTATTGTATACCATTATAGAATTATAAACACTGTACACTTGCACTACACTAAATTTATAAACAAAAATGTGCTTCAATAATTAATTAACCTTAGCTTACTGTAACTTTTTTTACTTTATAAACTTTTGAATTATTTTTAGCTCTTCTGATTCTTTTTAAATAACACTTAGTTTAAAACACAAAAACATTGTACAGCTGTACAAAAATACTTTTTTATATCAGTCAGTGTACTTTTTTCATTTGTAATATTTTTTATTTTTTTAACTTTTTAAAGTTTTTTATTAAAAACTAAGACACACATGTACACATTATCTAGGCCTACACAGGGTTAGGGTCATCCATATCATTGTATTCTACTTCCACATCTTGCCCCACTGGAAGGTGTTTAGGGACAATAACACGTGTGGAGATGTCATCTCCTATAATAACAGTGTCTTCTTTGGGAATAACTCCTGCATAAACTGCCAGAGGCTGTTTTACAGTTAACTTTTTTAAAAAAATAACTAGAAGGATTACACTGCAAAATAAAGATAAATAGTATAATATTATAAATGCATAAATAACATAGCCATTTATTATCATTATCAAGTATTATGTACTATACATAATTGTATATGCTAGACTTTTATATGACTGGCAGTTGCAATAGGTTTGTTTACACCAGCATCACCACAAACACATGAGTAATGCTAGGACTTTATGATGGAAACAATGTCACTAGGCCATAGGAACTTTTCAGCTCCATTATAGTCTTGTAAGACCATGTGGCTGGTCATTAACTAAAATGCCATTGTGTGGTGCATGACTGTAGTTGCTAAAGCAGGAGTGGAAAGAAAGTCATATGCTGGGAGCAGAGCGAGCAGGGAGCAAAGTGGTGAGTGATAAAGTGAGAAGGATATGTAAGGCCCAATAATGTGGAGTTTTACAGACATTTTAAGAAATTTGCTTTTGGTACAAATACAAATGGTAGTCTATTAGAAATTGTGTAGGATACAATTTGTATTTGTTACAAAAGGTCCTAAGTGGTGAGATTGTGTGATTTATGTCTTTAAAAGATCTAGTTGCTAAAGTGTAGGTCAAAAACAGGTATTGCAGGAGTCAGGGATAAAGATGATGATTTTTTTTATGAAAGGTGAATGGAGAAAAGTGAAAATAAAAGAGAAGTGGAAGCATGTTCAATGTATTTTGAACTGGGTAGGATTTTCTTAGACTAGTTATGGGGATAAGAGAAAGAGAAAAAAAGAAGAAACGATGATACATAGGTATTTGGTTTAAGCAACTAAATGTATGTTGTGCCATTTAATGAAAGGAAAATATTGGAGGGGAAGAAATTTACAGTAGGAACACCAGGGGGTAGGGATTCAAAAGTAATATTTATCTATATTAATTTGAAATGGCTATTAGATACCAAAAGGGAGATAGTAGGGAGGATGTTGAACATTGGAATATAACTGAACCTTATTTGTGACATTAGAAATGGAGGAAAAAATATACATATATAGTACATATATGTAATCATACAATGTTATTAAGTATGGCACTCATAGTCACTTGAAGAGATAACCTATGGAGTAGGTGGAATTTGAGTAAGAATTATGCCCAGGTCCAGGCTCAGAGGTCTTTCAATATTTGTAAATAAAGCAGAGGAGAAGGAACAAAGACTGGAGATGATGGTAGGTCAATGAGGGAGGATTATAAACAAAAAATCTAAGTCGGATGTAGGGGTTCATGCCTGTAATCCCAGCACTTTAGATGGCCAAGGTAGGTGGATTGCTTGAGCTCAGGAGTTGGAGACCAGCCTGGGCAGCACGGTGAGACTCCATCCCTACAAAACTTATCCGGGTGTAATGGCATGCACCTGTTGTCCCAACTACTCGGGAGGCTGAAGCAAGAGAATCACCTGAGCCTGGAGAGTTTGGACTGAAGTGATCCATGATCACTCCACTGCACTCTAAACTGGGCGACAGAGTGAGACCCTGTCTCAAAAACCAAAAACAAAAACATGAAGAATGTGATCACGAATGCTTAAAGAAGGCCTACTGCCCCATGTCAGTAAAATAACCCTGTAGACAGGGTTGAGAGTGTGGCAATATTCTGAGGGCAACCTATTCTGCTCATTCCACTCCCAGGCTGGTCAAGTGCATACATTTTTTTTTCTTTCCCTATGATACTGTTCACATATGTTCAAACTATATGAGGCAAAAATAAAAGCACATATCCACCTTTTAAGAATGATAGAGCAGAAGCAATTAATGTAGAAATTGATTACATCCAGAAATAACATCACTGGAGTAATTCAGAAGACACTTGTTGGTCTCTAAGCCTATAATATGTGATGTCCATTTATTTTTTAATTCCTTAAAGAACTTGTTCAGGTATTATGTTCACCATCTCTCAACCTAAATACTAATTGATTAATGTATTTTTTGTTTTACCATCGCAACCCACACCAGTGTTGGAGTTAAATGGGGAGCTATTTAATAACTTCAGCACAAATTGCTTGTTGTAACAAATGCAATCACAACACCTGTTTAGGTAAGGTGTGGAGCGTAGGTTTGCAGCTCTTAACCCATAGATTGACTAATAGAAACAGAAGCAGCGTTACACATTGGTGGCGGGGGGGATAGCAGGATTCCTCTTTGGAAATTTGATCTTGCTTCCTTTACTTGAGTCAGACTGTAAGGACTCCTTATAAAGGGAGTTTGTTAGTAAAAAATGCATTATGAGGCCCGTGCATGCAGGACTGCGCAAGGGAAGAAAAAAGATCAAAGCAGCAAGACACAAAAGCATCTGAAAAGAAGGCAGGAGAGTTAGATGTGAAAGAGAAATTTCGTTCATTCTTGAATTTGCCCTGCTGTTGCCCAGTGAGTATCTAAACTCATATAAATGTATTCTCCTGTATCTGTAAAAACAAATGAACTCTTTCCTGCCTTCCTTCTTTCCTTCCAATTTACTGATTAATTGTGACGTGCCAAGTATTGCCAGGGCTAATGTTTTGAGCTGGTATGCTCACACATGTGTAAGCTCATGCAATAATGAAAATCCTACTTGATTTAGAGTTGTAATCTCTTCCCCCACCCTACATTAGAGAGGAAGACTGTAGGCGGGGTAGGTGGAAAGAGGCATATGACTGGCTGACAATTTCTCTTTGCTGAGATTAGTTCGTCCCTGTGATGGCCCTCTTGGACAAGTCCGAAGATCATGTGCTCTAACTCTTTCTTGTATACCTACAGCGGCTCCATAGAAAACCACATGTCCTTTTGCCCTGGGATCACACCGCCCCAATGCAGCAGGAACTCTTTTTTACTGCCAAAGCTGTTAACCAGACCACTACTCACCTCTCCATGATTTAGGCAGAAGTCAGATACCTTTTATGTGTTCAACTCACTCCCAAGGGCCTACATAGTTATTATTTTGTTTGTTTGTTTTGTTTTTAATGTGTAGTAATGGAGGTAAGATAGATTGCTAGTTTTTCACAATACCTAGCAGTTGGTAGACTTCATTTTTTTCTTTTCCATTGATAGAGCTATTGATAAACGTTGTTTTAAATAACACAGTAAGCCTAACCATCAAATTCATAAATGCGTCTATTTTCAGTCTCTTCGATTAGGGCTCACAAAACTGACTTGGCAGGGAAGAGATAACCTTGTTTCACCACTTAATATTTTTAGTTGTTAGCTGGCACAAGTCAACTCTGTGTCTTGCTACCTGTGAAAGTGAAGGACAGCATGTACAGAAAATAGAGGGGAATGGAGAAAGGAGACTAATATTGAGAGCTCACCACATACATTTGTTCATATGTATTATCAGTTCTAATTTTCAAAACTGTACCAAGAAGTGTGTATTATTATCCCCACTTTTACAGAGGAGGATAGAGTTATTTATAAATGGAGGCATGAAACTGCAAGATGGTTAAGTATCTTTTTCTCTTCAGGCAGAAGTAGAGACAGTCTTGCTAATTGGATAACCGATCACATTATAACTGTTTTCAAAGCAAATAAGAGTCTATTCTTGATAGTGTAAAGGTGAGGCATATTCCTTTGTGTACTTGTCTTTTCCCTTTCATCTTTTAATTCAATTTTTTAAACCAAACCTTCAACTTGGAAAGGAGAAAATTCCCTTTTTGTTGAAATAAATAACAAGTCTGGAGGTTTAGCCACCTGATGTTCTTTGAAATGTCAATTTCAAGGGAGAAAATTAGTGTTGGAGAGCCTGGGACTAAATTTCAACTGTGCCTTTCTAAATTGTGCATGCAAATGGGCAATTAGACCTGCGATGGGTAATTGCATGCCTAAGTGAACCCTTCCACAGGGAGCTTAGAAGCTGATTTTGAAGGTTGAATTTGTGGAAGACCTTCTAAATTTTTTCTTATGCTGAAACAGTCTATGAACGCTCATCCCCAGCTTCAAAAAAAGAACTCTTGTCTATTCCAACGACCTTTCAGCAAAGTAAAAGTCACTTGAGGTGAAAAAGGAGAATGTGAGGAAGTCAAAAGTTATCAATATTCACTAAAATCTGTTTTACATATGATGCAATAACATTTCATCTTTGCAGAAAAAATTGAAAATCATGTAAGTTAAAATAAATGTAAAATAGAATCATTAACAGACCATTTATCCATCCAGAAATACTGTTAATATTTTTGTCCTTATCTTTCCAATCTTACTAACATATTTATAAAATATTTATATATGTATACATAACACTGTGACAAACTTTTTACATTTAATAATGTATTTTATAATGAATATCTTCATAATCATTTTATCACCTCTATGCTTTTCTATTTTAATGTATGTCAGTGTATGAAATTGACATACAAATGTTTAATGCTGATATTTCTTAATTTACACTATTATAAAACATTATAATAAAAATGCAGTGGTAAACATCAATGCCTGTTTATTTTTGCTTGATTCACTATTTTTTTAAAAAACTCATGCCTCTCTCATGCATTTCTGAAGTGTTATTTTTTATTTGTGTCATATAAGTGAAAACTAACTCTTTATTATTGTTTTCATTTATATTTCAGGCATAGTCAATCTCCTGTAAAAGCCAAACTTTCCTCTCCAGCTCAGCATTTCTCTGAGTGATTGTCTGGTTCTTTAAAGAGCCCTTTATCCCTTTTCTTAAGCATCATCTATTAAGCATTTGAAATTATTATGCTGTGGAACACAAAATAAAAACTCCTACTGGTCCCATATTCTTTCCTTCATACTCTGCCAAATAAAGTAGTATAATTGTAAATATATTCAAAAATTGATTTAATTATATATACTTTCTTTCATGCATTTCAATTTTTTAGATCATCAAACAGGATTACGTTTCCTTGAAGACTCAGGAAAAATCAAGGACTAGTAGTCTCTGAACAAAATATCTTCCTTCCATCTATATATGTATGTAGACACACACACACACAGATATATATGCATGTATATACATATGTATATATATGTGTATATATGTATACGTGTGTGTGTGTGTGTTTATGTATATATATATATATTTTCCCCTCTAATAGGATTCATGCATTGATATTCTAAGTAGAACAAAAGGAAGTATTTAGTTAATACCAAGTTTAATATCAGTGATGGACATTGGAATGGTAATTTAATTTCACAAAGAACTACGGTCATAGGCTAGGTAATACAGGCGTCAACAGTAAAGTTTCTTGATACACAAAGGCTTGTCAAAGTATGGAAGCAAATAGTTAATGTCCCATGTGTTTAGAAATAAGAATAGTATATTCACTTTGAGAAATATTTAATCTGAATACAAGTCATTAGCATATGGATAAAAATAACTTTTTTAAAAAATAAAAATTTAAAACCACACCATTAACACTGAAAATAACAGGATAAACAGTATTTATTTTATAATTATTCCAGGGAAAGGATTAACTGATTGTGATCACTTTTGTAGAAGCAGCAGTAATCAAAATTCATCAGTTCTGGAATTTTAAGTGAGAATGATGATTTCATAATATGATGAACCTGCCCATATATATATTAACGTTTTATATACCACTGGAGGATTATGTGCCTTGAAAGCTGTGTTGATAGTGAAATATTTATTTCATTGATAGAAAATTGAGTATTGGCCAGATAGTCTTTAAATTGAGTTATTCTTTTACATAAAATGCTTTATAAATGTTATGTCAGGTTGTCATATTACTTGTTTATTTTATTTTGATTTTTAAACTTTCAAGAGTTTTAAGTTCACCATTTGAACATCTAATTTAACTAATATAATATAAATGTATACCCTAAAAAACCAGTACTACTGATTTTGAACAAATACATTTGAAAATTAAGTTTCTCGGGTTGTTTATATAAGATGCACTTCAACCATTTAGTCATCATTTGTTGATTTTTAATTATCTTTGACAATAACTTTGCATGAACATTTTCTATGCAGAGAAATAGCATGTTGCTTTCAAAATCTCTGGGCTTACACCACTCCACTCTTTCTGAATTGCACCCTGTAGCTCTACTAGCATTCTTTTCATTCTTTACTGATGCCTAGTTCTCTCACTTCAGGATCTTTTACTCAACTTCCTTCTGCCACTATCCTTCATCAGGCTATTTTCTATATATTATTTCTTCAGAAGATCAACTCTGATATAAAACTGTACATATGGTTTTCATTGTGTGAACTTTAATAAATGGTGTATCTTTTGTACTGTAATATGTACCATTCTATATTATTCAGTGCTGCCCTGTGAGATTCCAGAGAATAAAGATAATGTCTCTCTTGTTTGCCTTTGTACCTTCAGTCCCAAGCAGTGTCTGGCAGAGATAAAGGAAGAAATAAATATTCAATGGATAGTCAGTTGATGAATGGATGGAAAGATAAAGCAATAATATGAAAAAATGAGGCACATTTAGGAATTCTTAGGAGGCAGTGACAAAATATACTCAGTATAGTTGATTCTTGTTTGCAGTAGTTATGTTCTATAAAGTTGCCACAAATGCTGAATTAGCAAACACTGAACCATTGTTCCTAGGGTAATTACAAGGTTTGGTTCCTATGAGCATCTGGTCACAACATTTTTGTCAACAGATCAACATATAACTTTAATTTCTGTGTGTTTCCATTTAAAGACACTTTATTTCTTATGCATTACTAATTCTTTCACATTAAGTTCGTGGCAACAGCACTAAAACTCATGCCGGAATAAAGATTATCTAACATCTATTTTCTCCATAAGGCACAACATAGCCTTCTTGTGAGTAGGTATAATAGATAGCACTTTAGCACAATGCCTGGGGGTCATTTTAGACAGCAAAATCACCAAGAAAAAGCACAAAAATGAAAAAAAAATTTGCCACTGAGTAGACTTAAAAAAGGGAACTTGTTTCCAGTATGACAGCTGAAACAAGAAGAAAAGGATTGACATGTTCCACCTTAGCTGGGTGTGTGCATGTCAGGCAACTCCGTTTTTTGCCACTTTGCATATATGCATGCTCATGAATGACTGTGAAAGTGCCATGAGTATTGATTTTATTTTATTTTTTTGAGGCAGGGTCTCACTTGCCCAGGCTGGACTGCAGTGGCACAATCACAGCTGACTGTAGCCTCGACCTCCTTGGGCTCAGGTGATTCTCCCACCTCAGCCTCCCTGGTAGCTGGGACTACAGGCACACTTTTGAAGTTAAAGTAAACTTTAGCAATCAACAAAATTGCAAATATGGAAACAACAAATAATGAAGATTCATTATCTGGGCTCAGGTGATTCTCCCACCTCAGCTTCCGCATGGTAGCTGGGACTACAGGCATGCTTTTAAAGTTACAAATAAACTTTAGCAATTAACAAAGTTGCAAATATGGAAACAACAAATAATGAAGTTCGTTGTATTTGGTGCTAATGAAAAAATGTGGTCTCTGTAATCAAAGAGATTATAGTGCAACTGAGGATGGGAAACAACAATCAAATGACTTTAAAACAAGGCAATAAGCAACATGAAGATGCATGAAGGAAGTGGCAAAGGCAGTGTGCTTTTTGTTGGTGATTTTGCTCTCTAAAATAACCTCCAAGCATTGTGCTAAAAGTGCTATGGAAAGTTGGAATGAGTGGTCACAACTGTAATCAGATGAGGCTTCATGGTGGAAGTATCCCGAGACCATACTTAAAAGGATAAGTAGGATTTTAAAAGAGAGATAAGATAGAAGAAAAATCTGGACAGAGAGAAATATCTTTGTGAAAAGAGCAAATGTTTTATAACACTAAATGCTATGGTCTGAATGTTTATGTCTCTCCAAAATGCATATATTGAAATCTTAACCCCCAAGAGGATGGTATAGGCCTTCGTGAGATATTTAGGTGATGGTGAAACTCTCCTAGGTGGGATTAGTGCCCTTATAAAAGAGAATCCAAAGAGATCCCTCATCCCTTCCACCATATGAGGACACAGAGAAAAGAAGGTTGTCTATGCACCAGGAAACAGGTCTTCAACAGATACTAAATATGTTGGCATCTTGATCTCCCAGCCTTTAGAACTGTGAGAAATTAATCTGTTATTTATTGGATACTTAATTTATGATATTCTATAAATGGAATAAGACACTTAGAAAAGCAAATTAGAAAAGTGTTGAAATAGGCCATTAGGAGGACAAACTGCTCCAGCAAGAGTAAGTATAAGAAATGTTAAAGTAAGGAAAAAAGTATTGTGCTGGAGGCAGAGGAAGGGAGGTTACAGAAAAAAATAAAAATAACCACAGAATAGTACTAATGAAATAGATCTAGGAATGTTTTCCACGGTTTATATTAGTTTCCTCTTGTTGCATAACAAATTACCACACACTGAGTAGCCTAAAACAACATGTATTTATTGTCTCATAGTCTCCATGGGTCAGGAATCCAGACAGACACTAAAGCTGAGTTCTCTATGCAGGGTCTCACTAAGCTACAAACAAGGTGTTAACTGGGCTGCGTTCACTTCTGGAGCTCCGAGTTCTCTTCCAAGATCATGTGGGTTTTGGCAGTCTAGTTTCTTCAATTTGTAGAACGAGGAACCCATTTTCTTGCTGTAGGCTTGGGGCTGCTCTCAGTCCCAAGATTCTGCCCACATGTCCCTCTCAGAGGACCTCTTCTCACTTCCTCAAGGCCAGATGGAACATCTCTTGCTTCAAATTTCTCCCTTTAAGCAAGATCTAAATATGACAATTTAGGGGGTTCCCCTGATTAGGTCAGGCCCACCCAGAATAATCCCTTTTATATTATCTCAAATTCAACTGATTAGGAATCATAATTACCTCTACAAAATTATTTAACCTTGGCCATATAATGTAACTTAACCACAAGAGTGGCATCCTATCATAATCATAAATCCTATTTTAAGGAAAAGGGATTACATTGCGGACAGAAATCTTGGGGCCCATCTTGAAATGCTGCCTTCCTTCAAAGCTTATTGAGTTGATATATGAAACCTTGCTGCCATTTTTTTTTGTATTTAATTACTAGTCAGTTATAACTTCCCCAGGGTCACCAGTTCCATTTTTACCCTTGTTAATGTGGAGGAGATCCCAAGGAAGAAACTTTGCTTTTTGTCTGTGAGCTGGAACATGGTTGGGGCTCAGTTTGGGATCTAATTTATGGTTAAATTGATTTGCATAAGAAAGGACGACAAGTCTCTAAAGAGAGGTTCCAAACAGAGAGAGGAGGAGAGCATTTCATCAGTGCTATGAGAAGGGGCAAGGTAGAGGTGGGCTGACGTAATAAGCAAAAGAATCTGGCTGTTTGCCACTTACAAAA
Source organism: Homo sapiens (assembly GCF_000001405.40). Classification (NCBI taxonomy): domain Eukaryota; kingdom Metazoa; phylum Chordata; class Mammalia; order Primates; family Hominidae; genus Homo; species Homo sapiens. The sequence continues at coordinate 80,990,501 of NC_000011.10, read as the reverse complement.
AGAAGCCGGCGGGGTGCAGTGGCTCACGCCTGTAATCCCAGTACTTTGGGAGGCCGAGGCAGGTGGATCACGAGGTCAGGAGTTTGAGATCAGCCTGAGCAGTATGGTGAAACCCCGTCTCTACTAAAAATACAAAAAAATTAGCCAGGCGTGGTGGCACACACCTGTAATTTCAGCTACTCAGTAGGCTGAGGCAGGAGAATTGCTTGAACCCAGGAGGCGGAGGTTGCAGTGAGCTGAGATTGTGCCACTGCACTCCAGCCTGGGCAACAGAGTGAGATTTCATCTCAAAAAAAAAAAAAAGCCAGTATAACAAGATTGAGGTTGATAAAAAGAGAGTATATTTTATTATCCGTGGTAGCAAGGGGAAGAGTGGGTGTAATTCTTTCAAAAATTTTTCACTCATCAATTTATGGAAGGAATGCAGGGGTTTTTAAGGAAAGGGTTTGGAATGCAAAAGAGGCAGGGTGTTAGGAGGTATCAGGTGGCCTGACGACACTGGTGGCTTGTCTTGAATTATTGTTTTATCTGGTGAAGGAGCTAGCGCCACTGTGGCTGGAAGCATCTGGTCCATGTCAGGATATGGCTTCTGAAACTTCTAAGGAAATATATGACCAGATGAGTGAGTATGGTGTGAGCTTAACACACATCTAGGTAAATAAGGTGCATAAGGCTTGGGAGCATGGTATGGGAAAAGAAAGGGAGTGGAGATTCACAGCGCATTCAAGGCTACATTTGAAGATGAAAGGTGACACATATGCAGTCTGTCTCGAAGCTATATCATGAGACTAGAGGTGAGGGAAGGAGGACAGGGGAGAGGAAAAAAAAATAAAACATCGTTTGAGGCTAAGCTACTAAGCTGTTCAGTTACATTGAGAGGTCAGAGGAAAGGAGAAATGAGGCAGCTGTGTAGGATGAAGAGCGTTGGAAGAGAAATGTTGAAATGGGATTTCTGAGGCTACTTTGCTTTGTGTTTCACAAAGGAACCTCCTCCCACTTCTCTGCCTGAATTTTATCTTTAGTAAAATTTGCCCTGTTTTTCCTTGTATTGGAATTGGACTTATGTATAGGCTTTTATTTATTGTTATTTTGCTTTGTTTTGTTGAAGCAATGTCTAAAACTGGCTTCAAGTTTGACACTAGGAGAGATCATGACCAGTGAAAGACATTGTTAAATATGTTAAATACCATGTTTCCATCTATCTATCTATCTATCTATCTATCTATCTATCTATCTCTATCTCTATCATCTATCTATCTACCTATCTATCTATATCTATCATCTATCTATTCTATCTATCTCCTTTTCCTCTACCTGCCCTAAAACCTCATTTTCAGGCTTTCTCTCTCTTTCTTATCTGTAAATAAATCTGATTATGACATTTTTCCCGCTAAGACTTTCCAATGCTTTCTTAGAATGAAATCCAAAGTCCTTCCCGTGGTTTAGAAATCCCATATTATAACGTGTGATAACTGCCCACCTCCCTACATTTCTCTGATACTACCCTCCCTCTATCCACTCTGCTTCAGCAGCCTTGACTCTGACCCTCCACTGTTTCTCGAACATGCGAAGCTCCTTGCTGCTGTACCGGTTCCACACTAGTTCCCTCTGTGTGGCTGGCTTCTTCCTTTAGTCCAGATCACAGATTAAATGTTATCTCCCCAGAGAGGCCTTCCTTGATAATCCAATCTAACACTGCCACCAGGTCACTTTCTATCAAAGCACCCTATTTTAATTCTCTATCTAAGACTTATCACCATCTGATATATTTCTTGTTTATTTGTTTATTATCTGTCATCCTCCCTCCCACTCCTTCCCCTGGACAGGCCATGGGCTGCTCAAGGTCAGGCAGCTTGTCTCCACTGATCTCCAGTCTATCCCTGGTAATTAAAATAGTGTCTGACACATAACAGATGCTTTACAATTACTTGTTAATAAATGAATTCATAAGAGATTAGGACATATTAGGGGTATCTGTCAATGTTCAACAGCACATCTGAGAAATAACCAGAAAAAGTTTGAGATCCAGTTGACAAATAGTGGCACAGAAAGGCAACTTGGTGAAGAGAAAAGAGCACTCATGTTGCCTTTGAAATACTGGGGTTTTAATCTTCCCTCTGCAACTGATTTGCTGCTTGACCTTGGGCAAGGTCGAGGAATGCCTTTCAGAGTGAAAAAGCAAGAATACTTATAAATACTTCTACATACCAAATCTGTTATATATTATTATCTGACTTTTATGGACGAGGAAACTAAGGCAGCAATAAGGAAACTCAGGTTAAGTAATCTATGATTTGTATGTGGTAGAGCTGGTGAAAGCACCTGCGTTTGGCCTAAAGGTCTCTTCCGGTTCTGACATTCAGCCATCTTGAAATGCCATTATCTCCTCTACCGGTAGGACAGAATTTTCCTTAATCAGACATCTATCATTTTTTTTTTTTTGTCCTGAACATTTTTCCACTTTGTAGAAAGGAGAGAAGGCTACACAATGAGTGGAAATTGTAACTGTAAGAGCCATGAAACTAAGTAGCTTTATTTTTCTTGTTTTTGTTTTTTTTAAAGAAAAAAGAAATGAAAGAAAGTAATAAGCAGAGGTAATATCTACAGAATTGTCTTTTCCATTATCCCTGAGGATTTATACTCTTTTAAAATAGCCTAATTTGTCTTTATCTAAGCATTTTGTTTTTTTCAATCTCCTACTGTTTTGTGTGTTAAATGCTTTCTAAATGATTTGTAAGGTTGATATTTAAACAACTCTTACACTGCCTAATCATATAGTTCACTCTTTTGAAATATAGTTCACTCTTTTGAAACATCACATTCTTTTCCAAATTCAATATCTTTATTTAGATGTCAAATTATGCTAGCATTGCCAATGTTAATTCAGCAGCAAGCAGTGATTATATCACATATACCCATTTTATTATTCTGCATTATTATTCTGCATTTCTGGTTCAGTGAAAAACCTCTCACTTACTCCGCTTGCTTTTTTTTTGTTTTTTGTTTTTTGTTTTTTTTTTTTTAATTGATTGTTGCTCTCTTAAGTTCCAGGCATGAGTCTGATTAGTTTAAAATTTCAAAAGCAAAGCTGTTTCCTAAATGCATAAGAGTCACTGTGACATTAGCAAGAGCTATTTGGGTCCATGGGTGAGTAATTGTTTAGTAACACCCTACTTGATTTCAGTAGAACCTTATATTTTCAAGCAAATGAAATTCCCTGGGAGACCATGAGAGACAGATTCTTATCATCCCAGGAACTTTTGAAGAGTACACATACCTTTTCTAGTTGCTTCATAAAGCCATGAATTCCCTTCCTCATGATAATAACAATAAAAATACAATAGCAATAGCTAATTCTATGAGTATTATTATTTTGCTCAGTTTACATCTGGGAAAATTAAATTCAGCGAGGTTAAGTAACCTCGGTTAGTAAGGGTTGACTGGGGACTCTACTAACAAAATTTGAGCTCTGACTAAAAGAATCTCAGATTGTAACCACTAGGTTTTATGTGTCCTGGTCTGCCCTGCCTGAAATGTACTTTCTTGTCTGGCTTCAATCTGGCCTGCCTAGTAGTTTCCTGTCCTTCATTCAAGAAACATATATTATGCATCTAGTGCAAAGCAGTAGAGATAGAACAATGAATACAGCTATCTATCTGTAAGCTGCTCTGGGGTTACCAGGGTGATAGGAAGAGATGCACATGGAAAGAAGCAGAGAGATATAATTACAAATTGGCAGTTTCAAGGATTGTTTTCAGAGTCTTTCTAGGTTTTAGACCATGTGTTGAAACAATACTTTGGCCTATGGAAAAGGAGAACAACTATGGAATCATTACCATGCTAAGTACTGTACTAAATATTTGTATTTGCAATGCGAGCTTAATACAAGGAATGTCTGTCTCTTGTTCAAGTAGTGGGTATTCTTAGTTGGGCCATTCTCCTCCCAGCAGTGTTCAGTGACCCAGACTCCTAGGACCTTGGGCATTTTCAATTTGTAAGTTGAAGATGTCATCTTGTCTTTGTAATTTGCAAGATTTCCCTAGAGGTCTCATTGCAGCCAGCAGAAATGGGAAAAGAGCAGAGAGGATTATAGAAGAGAAACTTCTATGGACCAGGATTGAGAGGGGCCTTGCATTTCATTGGTGAGAATTTAGTGGTATGAAAACATCTCATTGGTGAGAATTGCATTTCATTGGTGAGAATTTAGTGGTATGAAAACATCTAATTGCAAAGGAAGCTGAAATTGTAGTCTGTCAAGGAGCCCAAGTAAATTTACAATAAAATGAATCAGTGATATGAATGCCATAATACTACCAGCTAATATCAATCAAATCACCGTCTCCAGAAAATGAGTCTATAAAGTAAAACTTTAATTTTGTGAAGACTAATCATCTGTTACACTACTTTTCCAAAGCCCATAGAACAAAAACGGAGAAAAGTGAGAACCCTTGCAAAATATTTTTAAGATGGTAATCAACTTGTCCCCATAAGCCTTTGAGCTGGAAATTGGGATATTTCTGTGCATGTGTGAGCGTGTGTGTATACACACATACACACGTATACATATATGTATAAACACATGCACATACATATATATACACACATATATATATACACACACACATATATATACATACACACACACACACAAGGTATGTATATATATATTATATATATATATATACAGACACACAAGAGATAAGCAATAGAATAAGACTTTCTTTTTTTTTTTGGATGGAGTCTCACTCTGTTGCCAGGCTGGAGTGCAGTGGTGCGATCTCAACTCACTGCAACCTCTGCCTCCCAGGTTGAAGTGATTCTTCTGCCTCTGCTTCCCAAGTAGCCGGGACTACAGGTGCATGCCACCATACTCAGCTAATTTTTGTATTTTTAGTAGAGACAGGGTCTCACCATGTTGGCCAGGATGGTCTTGATCTCTTGACTTCGTGATCTGCCCGCCTCGCCTCCCAAAGTGCTGGGATTACAGGCGTGGGCCACAGTGCCTGGCCAAGAAAAATCTTTTATTGAGCATTTATTCCATTTATTCCCAGGTGCGTTATGTAGGTAAATGTATTTAATAATTTTTAAAAAACTATCATTATTCTCATTTTACTGATGAGGCTCAGAGAAGTTAACAGAATTAATCAATATCACAGAGATATAATTAATATTGCCTGGATACAAATCCAGATCATTCTGTGCAAAGTTTATGTTCTTTCTACCACACCTAGCAGATTCAATGAGAGACTGTAATGAAAATAAATTAATTTTACATATTAAGTTTACTTTCTTGCAAAAGAAGGAATACCAAGGAGCTTTGTTATATGAAAATTGAACCATTGTTTCACACTTACCTCTTAAAGAAGCTCTAACGAGTTACACTAGTCCCTCAAAGAATGTATTCACAAAAATTCTCATGTACTAAAAGTACAATAGCACATGGACCTATGGTGTAACTGTCCTCAAATACTCAGTTTAGAATGAGAACTCTCAATTTTCTATAATTGTGTCCAAGGAAACTTCAAGTCACTATCATCCCCTCCTGCTCCCTGCACCCTTATCACTATATTGGTTAAGCATTTTTATTTGAAAAACTAGAAAAAGAAAACCTACATGAAGTATATTTTTAAATGCCATATATTAAGGGAAAGAGAGTATCAATCTGAAAATTGAGAGGTACCTTAAACCTCCATGAGTTATTTCTTTATATATTCAAAGACTTACAGACCACACAAGGCAGAGTTAGGGCTGATACTCATTACCAATTTTGAATAATAATGCCTTTCAAAATGCAGCATTTAGAAAAGCATATCTAGAATAGAGGAATTGTCACAAATCTGTGACTCAGTTACAAAACTCATAAAGAGACAATGACAGGCTATTAAACTTTTTGTTTTGATTTGCCATTTGATAACAGAAGGACATGGTATAGTATTTTATTTGGCTCTGCCCGTTATGTACATTTGCAAGCTGGTGGAATAGCTCTCTGAGCTGAGAGGTAACTTGATATTCACAGCTAGCCCAATTTCCTGGATTAAATAGACCCTCCTCAAGGGTAAATACTATTCAGAGGCAAGATTGTCTCCCACTCCTATTGCTAAGTTTCCTGAGATTCCAGGGAAAAAAATAAGCTAAAAATAAATGAGTCCTATTGCCAGAATGTGTTTCTATCAACACCAGTCTGACTTCCACCCCTACCTGGGTATCTTTTAAGGACCTAAATATTAAAAATGTACCTTTTATAATTACACGGTATACCATCATTTTGCTCCAAACTACCTCCCCAATCTCCTCACATTGTCATTCCCCTTTTTATCCATTATTCCTGAGATCATCTTTCCAAAAGAATATAATTTGTGTTTGTTTGTTTTAAGGTTAGGGACATCTTTCTCCACATATCAAGTAAAATAAAAGAGACAAATATCTTTCTATCCACTTTCTGTTCCATGAGGGCAAGTCTTTGTAGGTTACCATTTATTTTTATTATTTATTTATTTACTTTTTTAAGACAGAGTCTTGCTCTGTTGCCCAGGCTGCAGTGCACTGACAAGATCTCGGCTCACTGCAACCTCCATCTCCCAGGTTCCAGAGCTTTTTGTGCCTCAGCTTCCCAAGTAGCTAGGATTACAGGCACCCGCCACCACTCCCAGGGGATTTCTGTATTTTAGTAGAGACATGGTTTCACAATGTTGGCCAGACTGGTCTCGAACTCCTGACCTCAAGTGATCCGCCTGCCTTCGCCTCCCAAAGTGCTGAGATTACAAACATGAGCCGCTGCTCCTGGCCTATATTTCTTAATCTAAATTACTCAGGCCTGGAAGTTAGAGGAAATCTCTCCTAGATTTTATCTGACAGTTTTAGTTTCCCATGTTACTGTAAACTTTATTTTTCTACAAATTCGTAGATATTTTATGTTTTGATAGAGAGGATGTCGTAAACGCTGTTTATTAGACAACATTTAAAGATGTATTGTTAGTGGTTGCCATATGAGTGAGTGAATGAATAAATGGACAAAATGAATTAATAAAGTAGCTAAGGTCACCAAAAAACTAGAAGACCTTTCCTCAGCTGGTGATGACACTGAGGAGAGGGCCGATTCTGTGTGCAATCACTGAGAAAATTACTGCAACTCTCCAATAGGCTTAGAAAGACAGGCTCATTCCTGAGCAGAATAATAGTATAAATGCCAACATCTTCCAAAACAAAAGACACCACTACAGTTCCTATTGTAAACACATTGTTTATCTCAAAATACTCCTGTTGATAGCTTGGCATTGGGAATAATCATTGCATAACAATACTCTCAAAAACTGCAAAAGAATAAGTATGAAAAATGAATGTTTCACAGATGATAAACATAAGTACAGGCAGCACATTTAATATTTTAATTAAAAAAAACAACTTTTCTTTTGAATTCAAACTTCTAGAAGATTGCTTAGAGATACTCTCATCACTGAAAATGCAAGACAAAAAAAATCACCAAGTAGCATTGCTGTTTCAGTAACAGATGAAAAAAAAAAAAAAAAGAGCAAATATAATGAGAGATTCCAGCTAGGTACACAAAGACTGGGACCAATTTAAAAACTAATAGAAGACAAAGACAGTTCAAAGCAGATAAATGTAGCCTAATGATGGCTTTGATGAGCCTTTGTCTCTTATCTCTTTATGCACAGTAAAATATGAGGAATTAAAAAAAGAGCAAAATCGTCAAAGACTTATCTGTATGTGTCACTAACGAGTGATGAGAACTGGAAAGACAAAGGATGAATTTCAGCAGTTTTGATGGGCCTTTATCAGGTATGTCTGTGTGAATTACAAAGTATGAGGCATGACAAAGAGTAGGAGTGGAGAAAAGGGAAGAGATATTTGATATGTGAAGAGTAATACATTGAGGAGGATGTGGGTTGGGAGAGCGATGACTATCTGATGGTTTCTATACAAATAATTAGATAACTGATTATCTGATGTGAATCTATCAGTAGAATCTGTACATCATTGCCAGACATATATTAGAACCCAAAGTCGTCTATAGAGAGGAAACCTGGGTATGACTCCACAGGGAAACACTCAAGCAATTTATTCAATAAAGGTAAGTCATGGACTGTCTGCACACCCTGCCATTTCAGTTTGTTAGACTAGATTGCATGGAGCCATTGACATGGGATAGTTCCCTTGATCCTTTTGCAGGCGGGAACTGGAGTGCACCAGCCCTGGGTCCAGCTGGCCACTTTGGTGCAGGCATGGATGAACTTCACTCACTTGAACCCACTGGGCTCAACCTTTCATGGGAGGGATGATGCAGGTAAGCAGGTGCTAGGGCCAGGGCAATCGCTTTCGGGCTCTGGCCCCACAGCAGCATCTAGGGGTGTGTTACAATTAATGCTCTTTTAGCTTTGCCATACATGGCTTCAGTGTTAAACTGCTCAGTGAAGAGTCAGTGTGACAGGCTTTTTGGGTTCTCGCACCCAGTGCAATCTGAACTCTTGTCCGGCAACCAGGAAGAATCAGGTCACATGCATGGTTTGAAAGGTGATGGATACGGAAGATTTTATTAAGTGGTGGAAGAAAGGGAGCTGTAAAAGGAAATGGAACAGGAAGAAAGTGATCTTTCCCTGAAGCCTGGCCATCTCCCACCGGGCTGCTCCCTGAAGTCATGCTGTCTGAAGTTAAGCCACATCTATTCATAGTCTCCCACACTCAATTGCTGCTTCTCCTCTGAACATTCAGCCACTTGTCTCTTTGCCAGCTGAGGTCTGGGATTTATATGGGCACAGCATAGTAGGGGCAGGATGGGCCAAAAAGATAACCCTTGGGTGGGAAAACAGGGATAACTGTTCTTATTTAGGGCCATGGTTTCCAGGATTGAGGGTGGGGCCTTTGCTGGGGAACCGCCCTCTTCTACCCAGTATTTTCCTGTCTCCTCTCATATCACCATCAGGCAAATGGGTCTTCAATTTGTTATTGGAAAAGGAGTCTTGTCCCAGACCCCAAGATTGTGTCCTTGGAACTCATGCAGGAAAGAATTCAGAGTGAGTCGCAGAGTATAGAGAAGTTAAGTTAGCTTGTAAGAGACTACTCTATTAGAGTCAGGCATCCTCAGAAAGCAAGGCGAGGAATGCACCACCTCGAATACAGTGCTTGCTTATATAGGATAATGGAGCTAAGAATAATGGCCTTACATGCTTACTTACAAAGGCTTGTTATCTGCTTGTGACAGGCTATTAGTATTGTTGTTCTCTTGTGTAACTATTGATTTCAGCAAGAATGTATGCATAATTTTTAAAGTGAAACCAATTCTTAAAGAATTTTTTTGTTTTCAAGATATCAGAATATTTACATAAGCACTGGGTCTTTATTTAGCTGGTTAACATCATTAACTCATTCCCTCAACCATAAATATATTGTGACCAAGGATTCCCAACCCCCTGGGAATACAATCTAGCAGATTTGGCCTTATCCACCCTTTATTCAAGATGAAGTCACTCTGGTTAGGATGCCTCTGACAAGTTCAGTTAATTTTCCTTTTTAATATGAACAATTTTTAAACTAAACTGACAATGTCAGTCAAACTACCTATGTGTGCGGACTTAAGCAAATAAACGCTATGTGCTTTTGTCTATGAAAGCGTCGAGCTCATTTGGAGCCCTGGCTGTCCCATTTACTTGCTGTATGTTCTCAAGTCACTTAACATTTGGAGTCTCATTTTTCTTAACTGTCCACTGACTATGATAATACCTATAGCATAAGAATTTATAAAAATGAATGGAAAAACATAAGTAAATGCAAAGTACTTTGCTATTACTTGGAGTAGAATGGGGTTGGGGAGGAGAAATGAATTGGTCTGTATAACCATAGTATAAAAATTTGACATTGTGGGGTGAGGAAGGGGATAATCTCTATTTGGGGGAAGAAACAAAGAGAACAAAAATCTCTGGTGATGCCAAGAAAGAACTTGGGAGAAAATGTATCAATTTTCATTTAAGGGGTTTGCTTGAACAGGGGAAGTAGGATAATGCACAGTATTTATGACTCACTGTGGTAGTTTGCTAAGGCCACTGAAACAAAGCATCACAAGCTGGATGAGCAACAGACATTTACTGTCTCACAGTTGTGTAAGTTAGGAGTCTGAAATCAAGGTGTTGGCAGGGCCATGCTTTCTCTGGTGATGCTGGGGCAGGTTCTGTTCCAGGCCTCTCTCCTGGCTTCTGCTAGTTCCTGGGCTTGTGGGAGCACAGTTTTAGTCTTCACATGGCATTCTCTGTGTGTGTATGTGTGTGTGTGTGTGTGTGTGTGTGTGTGTGTGTGTGTCCAAATTACCTCTTTTTTATAAAGACACTATTCATTTTGTCTAATGAGAGCCCCTCATATAACAATACAACCTCATCATAACTAGTTTAATCTGAATGACCTTATTTCCAAATAAGGTTACACTGCGATAAGGGGGTTAGGAATTCAACATATGGATTTTAGGGAACACAATTCAATCTCTGACACTCACACACACTTTATTGGTAGTGAGTTTTTTTCTAGGAGAAATAAACAGGTGCTCTGTTCTCAAACCATGTTGATGAAGGAGAAAAATACAGATGGCACTGATGTGAAAGAATAGAACCTCAGGGAGAGCTGGTATGTAGGTTCTAGATATGAGATCCCTTCAATGTGTTGATTATAGCTGTAAACATTTATTGAGAAGCTACTTTATGCTTCTTATTGCAGGTGTTGACAACTGCAATAAGATAGGACCTGGCCCTTTGAGAATCACAGGGTACAATGGTAGCGATACACCAAGAGATAAGGATAATGCACTGTAAGCTACAAGCCAAACTACAATGGGATCCCAGAAGAGTCATTCACATATTTATTTTCTTTGATTCCCCATGCTGTTGTTACATGCCTATTTTATTTCTTAGAAGTTATAAAATAATAGTTTGTCACCATAGGTATTACATGCTGAGGATATCTTCTTAAAAATCTTTTGTTACAAACCTAGAAAAATGGTATAAATATCTATGCCTTCGTGGTCACTAAGTAGTGTAACTGGGTGTGGTTTTTAGGTCTAGGTCAATTTCTATAGCACCCCATTGTCAAAATTCCCTCCCCGTAAGAATATAAATACTGGAAGTTTTTTTTTTAATGTGAGTAAATTTCAGATCAGTTCTTCAAGATAAGCTGTAATTTTAATGTTAGAGTTATATTTCCATATTATACGTCATAGTGAGCATTATCTCTAATAATTTGGATATATTTGTGAAATGCTATATTATAAATATATTTAATTAGACGTTTTCTTAGGTGAACTGAAAAAATGTTTCAGCCAAATATCTGTGGTTCTTAAAATATAAAGGCAACCTGCTGGAGAAGAAAGAAAGAGGCCTACAGTGTCAAATATTTGTACTTTGTTTTGAATCCCCAGATTCTTCATGTTCAAACCACATGTGATTTATGGGAATTTAATTAATACTTCCTAAGTTTCAGTTTCTTCCTCGGAATAATGAAAAAAATAATGCACTCCTCACATTTTATTGTGAGGCTTAAATGGTTCATTTAAGCCTCACAACAAAAAAAGTAAGTGAACTTTCTTTCAGTGTTTTACATCTAGCACACAAACAACCTTTATTATTAGTGCTTTGCAATTCTACTCTCACCTCCCCCTCCTCTGAATTACAATTTAACCTTACAAATACTACCCATCCCACTTGCCCATATATATACCCTTGCAACTTTCTTTGCCTAGTAGTTAGGAAGTTTTAGCTACTATTTTGTGCTAGATTGAAACATTTTAGTCCATCATAAAAATATTTTGGAAGCAAGATGTAATTACCCAGGCTGCCCTTTGGGCAAGAGAAGCTGAAAGAGGAACTCTGAACCACCATATGGGCTGCGCATGGTGGGGCCTATTGGAACCAAGCATTTAAATCCATTTCTTCCTGAGAACAATTAGATGAAACCATCCAATTCTTCCAGGAGATTTGAAAATGATCACCTATTGGACACAGACTCTAGGTAAATTGCTTTCATTTAAATACGATTTGGAATTTGTTCAACTAATCATAGTCTGTTAATTGCATTTTGGAGGAAGAAAGAAATTGAATGAAGCAACTGGTTCTTGTTAGATCTGAGCCAGCCGTGGGATTCAGCATGTGGCTACAGAATTCTACCTTGTTAATCTCAATAAAAGGCGGACTTTGCAAGCTGTAATAATTAAATCGCCCTTTACAAAACAAAATAAATCCTGCATGGGAACATGTTATGCTCCATTGTGTCTGATTTTATATATATAATATATCCCTATTTACATTAGTCATCTTCATTATTCAAAAATCCCAGATACCAATAATCTAATGTATCTTGATTGTTCAGGGCCAACTATCCATGGTGTTTATTTCTTTAAGACCAAACTTTATTTTTTTTAAAGCAGTGTTAAGTTCATAGCAAACTTTAGTAGAAAGTACAGCGTTTTCTCATGTACACAATGCCCTCACATGCCTAATGATTTTTTTACCTTGGCGAAAAGGGGAATTTTGAATGTAAGGACAACACCATGTTCCACAGTTCTCTTTATGAAAATTTTCTGTAGTCTGTGCAGTAGAAAGGGCATGATTTTCTAATTATGTCAAACGCAGTTTGAATACCGGTTGTGCCAACTTTCCTTTTGGTTTGTTCATTTTTGTTTTTGTTTTGCTTTGTCCTGTAGAGACAAGGTCTTGCTTTGTTGTCCAATCTGGTCTTGAACTCCTAGCTTCAAGTGATCTTCCCACCTTGGCCTCCCAAAGTGCTGAGATTACAGGCATGAGCCACCACACCCAGCACCAACTTTCTTATTGAGTGAAAATATACCACTTCTCTAAGCCTCAACCGAAAATGGCCAATTCTTTTTTTAGAGTGATCATGGGACAAAATTAGCAAACTTCATATATCACGTTTAGCATAGTAGTGTTTATCCCACAGGGAGAAGCAGTAGTGCAGTGTTACTAAGCAAAATAGTAGTTTGGAGTGGGGATGGAAGAAAGGAAGAGCTGAAAAAAGACCTGTTGGATACTATGCTCATTACCTGGGTGACGGAATCAGTCATACCCTGAATCTCAGTATCATGCAATATATCCATATCCAAATCTGCACATTATTTTAAAAGTTGAAATAAAGAAAAAAAGAAACAGCAGTAGCAATAAAAGTATAGTTATATCACTTTACTATTTGGGTAAATAAAATCCCGTCTTAGTCTAATTTTTCTTCCTTCTTTCTTTCTGTGATCAATATTGATTTTTATCTACCTCTCTTGACCTTTCTCTAAACGGTGATTTTATTCAGTACCTATGATTCGTATAGAAAGTACAAATGATCATTACCTAAAGCAGATTATAATGTACTTTATGGGATGTGAATAATACACATTGGTACTAGAAGAATGGAATTACTCAGTATTTCTTGCTTTGTTCTCATAATTATGAATATAAAACTGAATGACTGTAGAAAACTCATAAGGTACAATATCAAGAAGACAACAGAAATCATCTGCAACTCCAAAATTAAAAGAATATAAGAAGGCATTTCTCATCTTAGATTTTTTTAACAAATGTCTCAAAGGTAAGTACCACAGGTGAGAAGTGCCCCACTCTTCTAAAGAGAGGAGCTGGATTCATCACCACAGCTCAGGACAATAGGTGACAAAACCCCACATGTTCTGAGAAGTGCTTTATGTATCACCTCCAAGCTTGCTGAGAGGTATCCAAAATCATTCCAGGATCCCTAGCTAACCTATCCATCACACACGTCCAAGCTATATGCAGAAGAGTTAAAAATTTTATTGTAATAAAAAAAGAGAAGAAAATTTACTGAATGAATTTCATAGGAGCAGAAGGCATAATAATGTTTTCCCTAACTCTGCTGTTGTGAACTGGACTTCCCAATTCCTGAAAATAAGAATTGCTGAAGAGCTATGTGACATGCCAAAAATATTGTTCAGTTGATGTGGAAAGGAGAGCTGGCATAGCAGATTGAATACAGTAACAGGGAAAAGTAAAGCTCTTTTTGATTGAGCCTCTAGATGTCCAGCTCATTAATAAACTGGTTATATAATCAATCACATATACATACAAAGGTGAACTCAAATTACTGTTTTCACATAACATTATTATATAAGCATTTTGTTTCACTAAATAGTCTTTATTTTTAAAATCATTTTGTCTGGTGGCATACTGAGTTTTCTTTTTTCCTGTTAAAAATGAATGCATGAACAACTTTATTCATGACAATTATTTAGCATCTCTGGTTGTTTCAGTTGCATGGTTTACCAGGCCCAAAGCTGTAGCCATTTTTAAAGATCTGGACACACATTGCCAGCCTTTTCTCTCTAAAGGTTATGATGCTGAAAGGTCTTATCAGGTTATACTAATTGGACTATATGATAGAACCACCACACCATAGAAAGCACTATGTAATAGGTGACAAAAAAAATCCCCCCAAAATTCATCATTTTTCTTCTTAGATAGTGAGGTTGATATTTGCATATTTATTTGCCTTTTGATTTTTTCTCTTCAAAGAATGACCTTCTTGGCTTCTTTGCCCATTTTTCTATTCCAGTCTCAGTGGAGTTTTCAATTAATTTCTTAGAGCTCTTTGTAAAAGAAGAATTATAAACCTGTCTACTATATTTATAGCAAAACTTATCTCCACTTTGCCATTTGCTTTTTAAGTGTGTTTGTCTTATAGTTCCCCATAAATTTGACTATACTTTTTAAAACATGAACTTACTACATGTTTAAATTCATTGTTCAAACATTATATGTTTATTCACTGGACCACTACAATGGGCCAATAAGGATGCTAATTCACATTCATCATACAGTTTAATCTTTGTGCATAACCTCTTTCGTAGATATTTTCAATATTAAAAATAAAATCTTAGATGCTGGTAAGTTTACTGATTTATGCAGTGAAGAGTCTTAAAAGTGGAAATTATACCAACTTCTTATTAGGTGGTGCTCAGTGATTTTTCCATAATACCATAAAGAAATGGTAAATAAGTATTAAAATGCCCTGCTTATTTTACATGAACTAATTCATGTAATTTTCACAATTCTCAGAGCTATGTGGTACTATTATACTCATTTTAAAGATAAAAAAACTGCACTTTGAAGAGGCTAGATTATTTTCCAAGGTCAGGGAGAAGTAGAATTTGAACCAAAGTAGCCTGACTGTTTGGTAACATCTCTACTATGGAAACAAATTAAAAACCAGATAATCATGATCACAAAAGTGAAAATCGTTCTGCAAATTCACAGTGATCTAGCATTTACTAGGTTTGCAAATTATGGTTATTTGATCAAAACTGTGACACATCAGGATGTCTCTAACACTTCAAAGTCACTGTTAAAGGGAAAAATGTCTTTATATACAATTTATCTTTTCATTTCTTATGAACAAAGTCTATCCACACCCTAAATATTTTATTTGGAGAAAAATGCTTGCAAATAGCACCCTAAAGACAATCTTGTCTCACCATTTAGAAACAAGAGAATGATCAAAGTTACATCGATTTTTTTAAAATTACAAATTTTAAACTTCAGATGGTAAAATAGTTTATCTTGAAACACAAAAGGATAAAATAAATTATCTTTAAAATGTATTGGCAAGCCTTTCTTCTGTTTACATCTCATTTAAATTTGATTAAAGTGTGTATCATTAACTGGACAAAAGTCAAACTTTGAAAACATTTCTAATGCTATTCTAAAGAAATAAATTATAGTAAGCTTTGTTTGAGGTGGTATTACGGTCTTCCCAGCCACTTTTGTATTGCTTAACATATAGTGGGTAAATGTGTCACAAAACACAGAATCTCTCTGCATATTTCTTTACTCAAGTAGGGAAATGTCTTGATATCCACAGAATATAGGGATTGTGAAATGTATGATGTGACTTCAGGTTGCCTCAGACAATATGGACATTTGGGACCTAAATGATAAAGAGCTGGACACATATATTTAATAGCAATGTTATTTTTCTAACTTTTTCCTGTTCTTATACTGTCCTTTCTATTTTTTAACTATTAAAATCCTTTTGAAAATGGAAATATTTGTATATCTCTTTTCTCTTACTTAGTACCTGCCAATTGTAATGGCTTCAATTTTAATGTTCAAGTCCCTTTTTAAAATAAAATAGAAAATATCTCTCTTGGTTGAGGGTGTATATGTTTAAGAACAAAAGCTTATAA
This sequence comes from Homo sapiens, assembly GCF_000001405.40. Lineage (NCBI taxonomy): Eukaryota > Metazoa > Chordata > Mammalia > Primates > Hominidae > Homo > Homo sapiens. Next base: position 80,974,291 of record NC_000011.10, on the reverse strand, counting down.
TAGCTTTCATTACTAGTACTTTTTGAAAGCTAAGTGACATTAAAAATAACCTTCCTCATTGGATATCCAATAGCCATTAAAAAATAAAACTAGCAAATTTAAAAAAAAAATAATTAAGAGACTGAATGGTCTTGACAAGTGCATTGAACAGTGTACCACACTGCAGAGAATGCCGTGAATAATGGAGGACTTTCCTGGAACAATTAGAGAGGTGAAAGTCTGTGTCCTGGAAAATCATTGCCAGTGGTTATATCAATCCCAAATGTCTCTTTTTATTATCTACTTCTCTTTCTGTCACACTCAACATAATGTTAATAATGAAATAATGACTTTAAAGGAATGGGATGACTTGGAAGTTGGGGGCCTGTGACTTTCCTTAGACTCCACCATTTTTGTCATGCTAGAGCAGTCCGAGTCTCACAACTGCTAGGGACAGAAGAACATCTTATTTGGGTGAATTGATATTATTACTTTGTCTTCATGTTGCTGACCAGAGGGGCTCCAAGCAGAGTGATTCAGGCAAGTCCTGAACACACACGTAGCCAGTCAGCAGACCGTGAAATTACCTTCACAGACAGCATTTTAAGGAATGACAGGGAAGGGAACAAGTATTTTTGTTTTTTAATTTTACCATTTGCTAATTATGTATATCTCATGTAATGCTCACTTCTGTTCTTTAAGATATATTACTATTATTGTTATTCCATTCTTATAAATGAGGAAACAAAGCTTAGAAAGGTTAAGTAATTTTGTCAACATATGTTCAATAATTAAGAACAGTGTCTTTATTAATTCTCTCATTTATCAATTATATTTATTGAGCACTCATTATAGACAAGTATTGTTCTAGACCAGGAGTTGGCAAACTTTTTTGCTGTCAAGGGCCAGATAGTAAATATTTTAGGCCTGTGAGCCATATGGTCTCTGTCATATTGATTCAGCTCTGCCAAAACAGTCATAGGCAATATAAGCAGGCATGGCTGTATTCCAATAAAACTTTATTTATAATAACAAGAGGTGGGCTACATTTGACCAACTCCTGTCCTAGACACTGACTATGCAGTAGTAATGAAATAAAGTGCCTCCTTTTACGAGCTTACATCCACTGTCAGGAGGTAGATGAGAAATACATATATGTTATATCAGGTGATGATAAATACATTAAAGCAAAATGTCAGAATAAGAGAGTTGATCATGACTCTTCTTTCATGATATTAATTGTACTCCATTCATATTAAGCATTGTTTCTAAGTAGAAACTGGGGTTCTTTTATTGACATGTTTAAATAAAACATTCTTTCAATTCACATGTCCCTTAGTTATTCTGATATAACCGTAAAACTTCGAAATATCCAATAGTTGATAGAGCAGAATTCCTAAGTCATATATCCGATGAGCATATTTTGGTTCTTAATTCACTTTTATATATTGTGACTTTTTTTTTCTTGAAACTCTTTTTTCTTTTATCTTCTTTGCATGTTTGTCTTGGTTCTTCTCCATTCTAGATAGCTCTTCTCAAAATTTCTTTTTTAGACTTTTAAATTTTTTTCTCTTCTCATTTCTTACAGGCTAACCTTCAGCACTATTCTCAACCTATATTTTCTCCTTCAGGGACTCATTGTATCCCAAGGCTTTAACTGCCACAATTATAATCCCTTCTCAAGCCTCCATCTTTGGGACAAATTTACCTCCTGAATTTTGAATTCATATTTTCAGCTCTTATCAAACATTTCCTTTTACATTCCCCATAGTAGCCTAAAACTCAGCAGGCCAAAACAAATATATCATTGCACCCTATATCTCAATGTTGTTTCTTATTCTGTATTATCTTTTGCAATGAATAGTTCACCAATCTACAGGCCCTAATAGTTATCTCCTAACCTTTAGCAAAGTTAAAAGTAAGTTAACCATAATTATATAAGACTAATGGTGGTAAAAATTTACATACTCAACCTTATGTTGTAGAAAAATCATAGACAGCCAGGCATGGTGGTTCATGCCTGTCATCCCAGCACTTTGGGAAGCCGAGGTGGGAGGATCACTTGAGGACAAGAGTTTGAGGTTTGAGACCAGACTAGACAACATAGCGAGATCCCATCTCTACAAAATGTTAAAAAAAAAAAAAAAAAAAAAAAAGTCAGGCACAGTGGTGCGCACCTAAAGTCCTAGCTACTTGGGAAGCTGAGGTAGGAGAATCACTTGAGCCCAGGAGTTCAAGGCTGCAGTGAGCTATGATCACAGCACTGCATTCCAGCCTGGGCAACAGAGCAAGACCCTGTCTCAAAAAAAAAAAAAAAAAAAAAGTGAATAGACCAAGCATTTGGCAAAAGTAGATTCCTGTCCCAGTTCTATCAAACAGTAACTAAATGACCTTCTTCAATTATGTAACTTCTCTAAACCTTTATTCTCCTGTCTCTATAACTGGGATAATCCCACCTTCTTCAAAAATGACAGTAAATGTGAGATGATACATAGACCTGTAATTCTGCTAGCATTGTATAATCCTTCGAAGACATATTACATTCCTCTCATTCCCCCTTCTTTCTTTTTTATAATTTTTTAAACATGATCTCATTTGAGCTTGTAATAAGGCAGACAGATATGGACAGACAAAGATGAATAAAACTAGGTCCTTGTTTCAGCAACTCATTGTTAAGTGGGCTTGTGTGTGTGTGTGTTTGTGTGGAGGGGGTAGCATGTAAATAAATAATTCAGTACAGTGTGATACAAAATTTTATGTGTTCAGTTCAATTTCCAACTCCCTTCCTTTCAAGGTCTCCAGAGTCTTGTGATTAAGTCAGGGTAGAAGTGGTAACACTTTGCTGGAAAGCTCCTGATTGTTTTCTTTGTAAACTATTACACATCTGCTTATCAAAATCTGCCACATCAAAAGTAATTAAATGAATAACTGATGTGAGACCTGTTTTGAACTTACTTATGAGGAATTGTCATGGAATCTTTTGTGACCTTAGGCAAATTAACTAAATTCTCTAATTTTGATAAAAATAATAGTACCTACTAAAAATAACTATGTTAAGAAATTAAATAAAAAAGCTTATTTCTTATTATGGTGAATAGCACACAGTAAGCACTTAATGGGATAGAACCATTAATATTGCTGATATGATTTTCAGATTGGCAAAATGCATTGCCCTTATTCTCAGCCTGAAATGGAATATCCCTGCAGTTTTTATTTCTCTATTTACATGTTGAATTGATTTGGTAGTTCTTTGATTCTCCCCATAGGATGAAACTAACGTACTCTTCTCTCTTCCAGTGAAGTAATTCCATCCAAAGCCTCCTACAGGAGTAGTGAGGGAAACATAGTCAGAAGTACTGAAAGGAAACTGTCTATGGCCCATGAGGATGGAAACACTTTAGTTGTTTGTTATGACCGTGTTGTGACTAGATATTCCCTTTTACCCATTGTAGTGTAGATAAAATAACAATGAAAATGGCACCATTGGGGTGGAAAACATATACCTCTGTAGTTCTCCTCTTCTTTGTCCCAGCCAGCCCCTCATTTATTTGACTAGGTAGGACAATTATCCTTCCCTCTAATCTGTATGGCTTGTGTTACTTATTTATTATTTGAATTGACAGTGAATCCTGGGACAAAGCATATCTAGGGCAATCAGGCATTGCTATGTACAGCACTCAGAAGGCATAGGCTATTGTGCCAAATGGTGAGTTGTTTTCATTAATAGCAATAAAAGCTACCCTGCAACCCCTTATATCTAAATATCTCCCCCAGATGTTTTGCAATCATTGTGTTAACAGACCTCTGCTCAAGCAGTGTGGGCAAACAAACTAGCCCTAAGGATGGTAGAGAAGCACTTTAGGGAAATGCCTAAAATGTCTTCATTTTTAGTTTCACCAACCAATGGGATCTCCCAGAGGAAAATGTGAAACTCTTCAGCTGTTGCTGCTGTATTAGAATCCATCATTGTGTCCTGGACAGCAGAAATAGCTGGAAGACATGGAATAAGCTGGAAGATTTTTAAAAAGAGAAACAAAAATGAACAGCCCAGAGGAAGAAGGGATTAGTTAAACCAAAAACAAACTGTGAATTCATTTCCCTAGGGAGAGGCAACTTGGGAAAGTGCCTTTCTGCTTCATTCTTTGAAGCAAATGTAGAATAAATCATTGTGTCTGTGCATGAGGAGCAAGGTCCTGGGAGAGAGAATGCATATTCCAGAAATGGGCCTCATCATTGGATTTATGCTTTTCAAACTAAAACAAGGCTATTCCTGGGAACTGAAGGCAGATAACTAGAGGTATATGATGTGCAAAAAAATATTCATACACACATATTTAAAGTAATTATAACATGTGTATTTACACACATTTTAACATTATAAATATATCCAATAACTTAGTCTCACATTATACCAGTAAGGTAGGGTTTTTGTTTTTCTTATCTTTTCTATACCTAAAGGAATCAAGGCTCAAGGTAGTCTCACTTTCCCAAGGTCATATAGCCAGCAAACAGGAATTTGGGGTTCAAACTCAGCCTGCTTCATTACAAAGCCTGATTCCTTACCTCCTCTGCAGAATCAGTTTTACTCAGCAATAAGTAATTTAAAACATATAATTTATTGAAACAAATTGGATGTATCTTGTGGCTGCAAATAATCATGGTTTTGTCTTTTTTTTTTTTTTTAATGGAACTTCAGACAATCTTCTGTTTCAGTGATAGCTTGCTTTGTCCTTTACTTTCAGACATAGGGTATGTATTCATCATCCCTACCAGCAGAAATACTTCTGAGGGAATTTTTGAAAAACACTATGCTGAAGAATAGGTAAAGCAAAGTCTAGGCCCATAAAGAATAAATGTATAAGGAGTATAAGGAGTCTGTGGTATAATTGGGGTCTTGAGGACAATTGATTAGGACTGAGAAATACTGTCTTTCCAGTTAGCTTCCATGAAAAAAAGTTCCTAAAAGGAGTGAGGCATACATGAAAAAATAGCTGCGTGGAAAAGAAAGTCTCCTGTGCTAACTCATTAGGCTACTTCCCAATGCCTTCATGTAAAACTCTGGTGCAGCTGGATTGGAGCATATGACTTAGGATCTAAGATCTAATGGGCCTCTTTGTCCCCTGCTAAAGAAAAATGACTGGGTTTTTTTTTTTTTTTTTTTTTTTTTTTTTGTATTTGAGCTTCTGTGTGGTTCAGGAACTCAATGCAATAACTAGCTTTGAGTTACACATAGAGAGGGAAGAGAGGCCTTGGATCAACTTATGAACTCAGGCATTTAGCAAGCACAGGAACTAAAAGAGAGACACAGATAGAGCCACAGGAGAGTGATCAACTTTTTAAGCCGTGTGTGACTCCCAATCAATGTACTGGATTCTAGAATGTGTCAGATTAGCAATTTTTTCCCCTTCTCTTGGGAGCTGAAGGAGCAGAGAGGCAGCACACAGAGTGAGGCCAATGCCTGCTGCCCTTATTCCCGCAACGTGGTTTCATCTGTTAACCCAGCTCCATTTAGCAGCCATTCTTGCGATCAATAATTCAGAGATATAAATATTTTCCTTAGATGTGGATACTATTAGAGTTTTAAGAAACATTTGCCTCTATTTCCACTGGTTGCAAGTAAGATCTTATCATTGTCCTGTATTTCTGTAACTTCCTATGTCCAGTGAGATGGAAGGTTTAACCAAAGATCTCACAAGTCCCTTAAATGAGTAAGGACAGTAATTAACTTCAAATCCACACTGTAAAATAAGCCAAAACTTCATGTTCCTTGATTCTAATTCTACTTCTTAAATTACGTCTTGCCATATTCCACTGAGAAATGCTCTAATATAAACTGCCCCATGTCCTTTCATAAATTCCCCCAAAAAACTTTCAAAAATCTAGATTTAAATAAATCTTCCTCCTCACCCCTGAAGTATTAGGAATGCCAAAATCTGTCCTTGATTATTCCTCCAGAAGCAGTCTCATTCCAGGCAGCATGGGCCATGTCTCCAGCAGTTACATCGTGGGTCATTTTCCCTTAGAACAGGCCTATCTTCTGAATACCTCTAATGTTGAAAGACTCAAACCCGTAGTCTCCTATGTTCATTTTTCCGGAGTTCAGTGATTCCACAGACATGTAAGTGTAGAGGAACCCCAGTCCCATGCCAACAAAATTTAGTATGATATGTAATTATTGCAGTAATAGACTTTCCCAAGCAAAGGCAATGCTTCTTTCTTGTTTTCATCTAAATATACTCCTATCTAGCAAAATAAAACATACAGACTATGAGAGGAAAAAAGCAGTTACTTTTAGTTTCACTTTATTAAAATGTCATCGAATACATACCAGTTTCCTAAGGCCAGAGTGGGTTTTTTGTTTGTTTGTTTGTTTGTTTTTGAGACAGGGTCTCACTCTGTCACCCAGGCTACCAGAGTACAGTGGTGCGATCACAACTCAGTGTAGCCTCGACCTCCTGGGCTCAAGTGATCCTCACACCTCAGCTCCCCGCTGAGTAGCTGGGACTACAGGAATGCACTACCATGCTCAGCTAATTTTTAAATTTTTTTTGTAGAGACGGGATATTGTTATGTTGCCCAAGCTGAGGCACAATGTTGTCTGATCTTCAGAACAGTCATTATGATCACATGGGCTTTTCTCAGATAGTTCAAAAGAGCCTTTAGCTCCGCAGTATTTCTGCAATTGTTCCCAGGTCTATGCATTCAAAACTCCATTAATAAATATGTTATTGCCTGTAATTCCTCCCCAAGCCCTTGCATTCTATTAGTTTATGCTTGTTAATTTCCAAGGCTTTGATTAGCCTTCACACTTCAATGGCAGCACAAAAATTCCACCGCGTCTGCTAAACCTGGATCCTACTTGCCCTATACGGTTCTCTTAGATCTAGTTGACAAACATGATGGAAATGGGGTTGAGTGAGAGACATCTAGAAAAAAAAGTAAAACAATCAAACAAACAAACTGAGCAATCAATCTGTGAAATCTCCTCTTATTCAGAATAAACCCAAGGACCGTAAGTCTCACACACTGTGGCTTACTGCCTTCCATAGCTATAGCTGAAGGTCCAGCCTGCAAGAGTAGATTCGAAACAGAATAGAGAATGGAATAACAAGATAAGACAATAAAGCTCTTCTAAGAACCAGTGTTTGAAAATCCTGTGACCAATGCTTCTGTGTGAAGTGTGAATTCTCCCCTGGGCATCTAATTTACGTCCACAAGAAGAATAGCTGCCCTTGTCCAAAGTCTGTAAGGAAAACTGCCCTACTTTCCCTTTGTTCCTCTAAACTACCAATTCTTTTCAGCCTTCCTAAATATAGGAATCTAGTGTCTCAGTGTCATCGTTTTTCTAAATGCCCCTGAAAGCTATACCTATATTTTAGATATATATTTGCAAGCCTCTGTCTACTTCACCTTTCTATACATCAAGGTCACTGTAATGTGAGGAAAGACCTGTTCAAAGTATTCCTACCATTGCTCCCAGCAATTAAACAGATAAATAGAAAGGAAAAATGTGTGTTTTTCCTTCATACTTAGGACCAAACTGGCTTAGGATACAAACTGACACCAGGTCAATAGCTTAAGACAAGGTACCTTAGTAGTGGGGAAAAAAAAAAGATGAAAGATAGCCAGAAAAAAATATCCGACTTGGCCTGAGGTGCAAGCTCTTGTTCAATTTATACATCCATCTATCTCTATAGAGAGAAAGAGAAGACTAGAAAAGGTATATGAAAATGTGCACTAAATTCAGGGTTTGCTGGGATCTGTTGACCCTTTCGAGTAAAGAAGGAAGAAATAAGAAACTTTGCATGGAGGGTTGGTCACACCTAATAATGAAGATTTCCCAGCAAATGTCGTGGACTTTGAAAATCCACTTTGGAATTTCCTTTTTTTTTTTTTTTGAGGTGGAGTCTTGCTCTGTCACACAGGCTGGACAGCCATGTCACAATCTTGGCTCACTACAACCTCTGCCTCCCAGGTTCAGGCGATTCTCCTGCCTCAGCCTCCTGAGTAGCTGGGATTACAGGTGCATGCCACCACACCCAGCTAATTTTTTGTATTTTCAGTAGAGATGGGGTTTCGCCATGTTGAGCAGGCTGGCCTCAAACTCCTGATCTCAAGTGACCTGCCCGCCTTGGCCTCCCAAATTGCTGGGATTACAGGTGTGAGCCACCACACCTGGCTCCTTTACTTTTGAGAATAAGAAGAGTGCAGGTGAAGAGCAAAGAAGAGAAGCTGAAGGTTTTTTTCTATCTCAAGTGGTAAACCTATGGCAGAGAAAGAATGTGAGAGCTATGTTGAATTTTACTGGATGGGACCTGGTGAATAAGAAGTGCATTAAGGCTTAGAGAATTGGGGAAGTTGAAAAACTTCCCCAATAACATCAAGTTTGTAAATGACAACACAAACATCCACTGATGCATGCTCTCATCTAACTGACAACAAAGCTTTTTTTGGATCTGTGTTTATAGGTTTTCTAATTTTTAGGATCAATTGGACATTAGAATTTTAATCTCTTCCTCTCTAAATATTGGCTTTATTTTCTCCCAAGCATGGACAATACCAAAACAAACAGTTTTGTGGGTAACATTCAGCCTGCAGTCTGGCTGTTTGTGACTTCTGCTGAGTCCAATAGCTTACAGTTTATAGTAAGAACATAAACGTATAAGTTCAGCAAGCAGGTTAAGAATATAGAGACAAAAACCTAGTTTCATGTTTTATGTAATTCCATATGGCAGTCTCTTGTCACTCATTATAAATATTCATAGTATACATTTTTTGTGACTGGCACTATGCTAGATATTGAGGATACAGTAATAAATAAGAGATAAGGTTTTTTCCTCATGGGAAAGAGACAAGATAAAGAAGCAAATGCAATTTAGTAAAATATGCATTCTATAATAATAATAATAAAAAAAACAAGATTCTAAGGCAGAGCAAAGAAGTAACCACGTCTTAGAGGGTGATTCTTATTGGAACGATTGAAATCTAACTCGGGATATTATATAAAAGAGTTCAGCTCATACGAACTTTCCAAGATGTGGGAAATCATCATCCCTTCTGGAAACTGAGGTTGTGAACAACATGGTTCAATAGAATAAAGGGCTAAATGACAAAAGCCATGGTTGAAGAGCTAGGAAGACTCCACATCATGAGGGGCTTGGAAAACCATATTGAGTCCATTTCAGGTACGGACCAAATTCTGAAGACAGTGAAGAATGAAGAACTTTTTGGGAGAAACACCACAATTAAGTTGATGTATTAGAATCATCTGTCTAGCCACAATGTAGAGCAATAGATTGGAAAAGTCAAGACTGAAGCCATGGAGAAGGCTATTACTAGAGTCAGAGCAGAGAACAATATGCCAACAATAGCTTCATTAATGGTAAATGTAAATGGGAAGAGAAGAGATGTTCTTAAGAAGCAGAATCAACAAGTTCACTTCGGTAGAAGGGGCTAAGGAAGATGTGTCCCCTTAAGGTGTCAAGAGACTGATAGAGAAAGGAACAATGTATGGAAATACTGAGGGAGGGGCGTGCATCAGGTCTTGAAAGCCTTGCAATTTTCTTTAAAGTTCCTCAGTAGTCTCGTGGCAGAGATGTCAAAGAGGCGGACTGATTCAGAATTCAGGCTTCATTGTACAGGTGAGTGGTTGGAATGGCATTGCATGAAGGCTAAGTTGGATAGAGAAGAAAGAGAAAACAGAAAAGAGATCATGAATAGGAAGCAAACACAGGGAGCTCTAGAGACCAGATGTCAGACTTTCAATTTCTGGTTTGGCTGTGAGGAATTTGGAGTTTGGAAGTCATTATTATTGACAATACAAGAAAAAAGCTGAACAAAATGGAATTCAACAACTCTTCTTAAGTCCATCAGATAACTGAGGTCACGGGGTATACCACCACCCCCAGAATTGAAGAAACAGTCCAGCAGATACAGAGAATCACAGCTTACCAGAACAGAAGTCTAGGACCAGAAATCTTGGCAGGAACGAGTGCCAGGGTAGGAAAACCTGAATTGTAATGGATGAATGGCTAGAGACTCAATGTGATTAAGTTGGAGGGTTCAAAACTCTGGGGGTGGGGGGCCGTCTTAGGGGTGCCCTCACCTTCTAGTGAGTTTTACCTTCAAGAGCTAAACCAGGCATGTTCTCACAGGCTTCACAAAACAGGGTGGGATAACAAGAGGAGTAGCCATTTCAAAATATTCCCAGAGCATTCTGTTCTTAACAAGGCTTGTCCTCAAGGGAAACTACTTTGCCAGAACCTAACCCACTAGGTTTTCCCACAGTCTAACGGACCTGGGAAAAGGCAAATACCAGGCATCAGCCTGCTGTAGTCTTCCTGTCTCACCTAAAGGAGAAAACAAAACAGAAAGGCAGACTGAGACCTAATTGTAGGACTATTTGACAGGACGTCTACGTAAGGTTGAAGGTCCAGAGATACTAAAGAATTTCATGAGAAATCTGAACTCAGAAGTTGGTGATCAGAGAGAAGGAGAGTTTAAGTTTTCCAAGGCAGACCAACAGTGTGGGTGATGCCCAATTCATAATGTATAATTTGTCAACAATGTCTAAAAGAGCATTTAGAAAAGGAATGAAAGAGTTGACCTGCAGATGGTGCAAGGCACTTAGAAAAGCTGGCCAACCGGCCGGCCAAATAAAATACACAAATATTTAAAGGTAGCACCACAAAATAATGAAGCTTACCAAAATGTCTGTTAGTCTGGTTGTGGTGGACGTTCAGAAACTTTCTCACATGATTTTCCTATTCATAAAGGTCATGGCAGCCGGACGCGGTGGCTCACGCCTGTAATCCCAGCACTTTGGGAGGCCGAGGTGGGCAGATCACAAAGTCAGGAGATCGAGACCATCCCGGCTAACATGATGAAACACCGTCTCTACTAAAAATGCAAAAAATTAGCTGGGCGTGGTGGTGGGTGCCTGTAGTCCCAGCTACTCAGGAGGCTGAGGCAAGAGAATCGCTTGAACCTGCAAGGCAGAGGTTGCAGTGAGCAGAGATCGTGCCACTGCACTCTGGGTGACAGAATGAGACTCTGTCTCAAAAAAAAAAAAACAAAAAACCTCATGCCATGCCATATATTCAGACATCACCATAGCAAAATCGGAGAAAAAACTGTTTTATGGTAGTACAGTTTTATGGGAAATCTCCAAGGTTTTATTAGCTTGGGGGATCAGAATTAACCAGATGATGCTGTCCTTTTTGTTTTATCTCAGGTTGCAAAGTGTTATTTTATCTGTCTTTTGTTTCTGTTTTTCTTCCCCTTGTCTGTGGTGTGTGAAATACTTAGCTCTGTTGAAAACAGGGCAAAGTGGCATTTTTTGAAAATTCTGTGAGTTTCATTTCTGGTACAGAACTCACTAAAAATCTTGACAGTCATTAATCCTTCTCCATTCTAGTTGATCCTAATGAGCCCACAATTACCTGCATACTACCTTGTTCCTTGCAAAGAAACAATGAGAAGCAATTGCACACATCAATGGCTCTCTCCTTTATTTCATAAACGTCTGGAAAGAGGCATTCCTGTTCTTTGTCTATGGGATAGGCTCCTAAAATAAATACAACCATTCTAACACTCCTGATATAACTTATGCCATTTGTAATGTCACCCTGAAGCACTTTTAAGAAGCAGAAAATAACAAAGGAAAGCCAGACAACAAAACAATAAATTAAAAATCACAGATCTATGGTTCTCTAGTACAGTTCCTATTCACTTGTTTAAATGAGGACTGTTTCCTGTTATGGAATAATACGCATGGGTTTTGTGACAGTTAGCTGCTAGTTTTAAGTCAAGCTTTTCTTCTTGCCAAAATAATGATTTCATAATCATGGATGATATAGATATACAACAGATAGATAGATAGTTGATAGAGAAGGAATACAATAAATATAAACTATTAAAATACCTACAGTCAAGTATGATATCTACAAAATTGAGGGTGTTTAGTATATGTTCACCTATGCTGTTGGTTACACTAATAGGGAAGAGATTTTGTGTAAGGTTACCTAAATTCAATTTGTATTTGTTATAGAATTGAAACACATGAATAATATAAATGAGAGCTAAGGATCAAATATGATACAAATTATAAGCATTGGAAATGGAGGAGATATAGTCACTGACAGAGGCAGAGAAGAGAAAGAAAAATGAAAGTTAAGAGTAAAAAAATAAGAAGTGGGCCAGGTCTGGCCAACATGGTGAAACCCTGTCTTTACTAAAAATACAAAAGTCAGCTGGGCATGGTGGCGCGTGCTTGTAGTCCCATCTACTCAGGAGGCTGAGGCAGGAGGATCGCTTGAACCTGGAAGGCAGAGGTTGCAGTGAGCCAAGATGGTGCCACTGCACTCCAGCCTGGGCGACAGGATGACACTCCGTCTCAAAAATAATAATAATAATAAGAAGAAGAAGTTAGTATATTTTGCTACGTTCAGTTAAGACTAGAAGTAATACAGAGATGAAAAGATAATGGAGACAGCTGGATATAAGCGAGTACAGAGGAAAGAGAAGGATTCATGTGGAGAGTTCCACTTGTGAGTTATTAATGTAGATGGGAGTTAATGTGAATGCAGAAATTAGATTTTCCAAGTGGGACCAAAAAGAGAGAAAGGAAAGACAGGAAAATTAAAAAGAGATTTCTGAAAAGAACCGATGATGTGAGAAAGAGCAGTGAATACTCATTAAAACAAAGTTGAAGATTCAGTTAAAAGATCAGATAATGCAAATGAATCAGAATTACTCAATTCTTGAAAGACGAGAAAGAGAATATGCAAAGAAGTAAACACAAGATGAAAACAGCCCCTGCCCATCCCTCACTCTTTGGTCCTGTAAAAAAATGTTTACCGTAAGCTTGGCATGACTATTTTTCACTAATAATAGCTTCTGTGATTTTTTTCTTCTTGTAGAGTGATTTCTTTGTCTGTCATACCATCAAAACCTATTTTTCTCCTGACAACGGTTTTAGAATTCATTCCCATCTCCATATTCCCATCATGCTGGCTCTTACTTTAATCTAAATTACCATCTGCCTTCTATTATAAATATTTCATTCTTGTAACCATCAAATATTATTGAGCACCCACCATGAGCCTGACATTTTGTTGAGGTCTAGTGGTACAGAAATGCCACCAAGGAGCTTATAATCCAATGGTAGCAGATTGAGATATTTGCAAGTAAATATATTAAATATATGGTGGCAAAAAGTCCCTATTAAATAAAGAGACAGAAAGGAGAGAGTGATACTTTTGTTACTGGAAAGGGGTCCTGGTAGAGGGTTCTTGGATCTCCTGCCAGAAAGAATTCGAGGAGAGTCCTTAGAGTAAAGTGAAAGCAAGTTTATTAAGAAAACAAAGGAATAAAGGAATGGCTACTCCATAGGCAGAATAGCCCTGAGGGCTGCTTGTTGTCCATTTTTATGGTGATTCTTGAATATATGCTAGACAAGGGGTGGATTATTCATGAGTTTTCCAGGAAAGAAGTGGCCAGTTCCCGGAACAGAGGGTTCCTCCCTTTTTTAGACAATGTAGGGTAACTTCCTAACATTGCCATGGCATCTGTAAACTGTCATGGTCCTGGTGAGAGTAGAGTGTCTTTTAGCATGCTACTGCATTATAATTAACATACAATGAGCAGTGAGGAAGACCATAGGTCACTCTCTTCACTATCTTGATTTTGGTGGGTTTTAGCAGGCTTCTTTACTGCAACCTGTTTTATCAGTAAGGTCTTTATGACCTGTATCTCATGCAGAACTCCTAACTCATCCTGTGACTAAGAATGCCTAACCTTCTAGGAATGTAGCCCAAAAGGTCTCAGCCTTATTTTACTCCATTCAAGATAGAGTTGCTCTGGTTCAAATGCCTCTGACAAATTCTACCTGAAAATTGTCAAGAAAAGCCATCAGAAAGGAAGTGAAGCTCTCTATGTTGTTGGAAAATAGAGATTCAACTAAGAGAGTGAGAGAAGTATAAAACTATAGCAGAGAAGGCATCATAAATAGAGTTTTGGACGTCTGCTGTGTTTGTTTGTCTCTAACATTTTGAAGGTCATTTGAGGGCAAGATATGAAATGTGCGCGTGCACACACACACACACACACACACACAAAATCTTCTGACAATTCTTTCAACTCACTCCCCTATCCTACTCCCAACGCTTTGTGCAATGTCTCATACATAGTAGGTACCTGTTCGCTATCTACTGGAAGAATGTACAAATGGTACTACAGCTTTGTCAGCTGCTACATATTGTAAAAATAAGAAATAAGCTTTCTTCTAAGTGAACAGTAACTGCCAAATTTTCTCTTTGCTGTATGTTTGTTAAGCTGCAATAATAACTAGGAACTCCTGCCAGCACCAGAATATCACACAAATCAATGCTCAAAAGCAATATTATTGTACACCATCTTGCTTTTTGGCTTTTATTTCAGGACTCCTGAAGTCTGCCAATGAATAGATCATTTATATTCACACATTTATTTTTTATAGTTTTCATAATGAAAACTAGATTCCTACCATTGCTGTATATGTACTCAGCTTTTGTAAGCAAGACTATGTAGAAGATGAGTTGCTCCAAGTTGTAATGCAAATTGCTTAGTGCACTAAAAAGACATTGCTTTTCTCCATGTAAATGTTTTATTTGCATTTTAAGACTCTTCTGAAACTTTATTAACCATCATTCTTTTATCTTAGTAATTTCCTCCTCTTGGAGTTTTGGGGACACAAAATAGAAGCATTTATTTCTTAAGTATTATTAATATTTACAATAATTTTAGGGGAAAATCTAATAAACAATATCATTGCAAGAGTAACAGAAAGCCAACACACTCACACACACACAAACAGGAGAGATAGAGCAGGGGAAAATCTAGAATCCCACTTCTCTAATAAACCAACTGTTTTCATTTACAATGGTTATTTTTAGACTTCAAATGCATTCATTGTTAAAGAACAACTGTGGAATTAATTTTATGTGAGCATAACAGTCAGTTTGATCTTTTCCATAATATAACCATCTTCTTGAGGATGAGAACTCAGATGGTTCCCAAGGTTCATCTTCTGTGCATTTTCTGCTTCTCAGCTCTCAGGCTGCTCTGAGAGGCCCCGCCTAAGGGAAAATATTGTAGATGATTGCATTAGCCGACCATCTCAGATGCCTCAGCAACTGTTGCCTTTTGAGAGCAGCCGAGTTTTATTCGACACAAAGGAAGATGAGTGATTATTTTAAACAGAAGTAATGACTGAGAGATGGCACTGCAGTGTCCCTGACAGAGTGGATTCTAGGACCCACCTCCTACATATCATGAGTCTTGGGTAACTTACTTAACTTTTCTGAGCCTTATTTTTTTTAATTTGTAATACAGATATAATCACAGCACTTACCTTAAAGGGTTGAGAAGTAGTACATGATTTAACATTGCAAAATGCTTAGAAGAGTGCTAAGTACCCTAATTAACACTTAAATACCAATTTTATTTTTTCTAAATCTGAACCATATTCTCCCTCTCTTACCTATCATCAATTATGCTTTCTTATGTGTGAAGAGAAATAATCAGCCAAGCATAGAATGTTACATGCACTATTAAATATGGATTCTCGTGGGAGTTGGCCATTTAATAGTAAGAATAGATTCCTTCTGTTTTGCAATCTGATGACACATAGCCATAAACAGTTCCATTTGGTCTGAGCTGTGCTAAAATCTGGTTGAACCTATTTCTCTATACTTGTCTCAAAGTATTATGAAACTCTCTCTTTATATTGGCAAGGAAAGTAAACATGACTTGGCAAAATAAGTACTTTGGTTCAAGTCCCAGCCTTATATTTTGCTAGCTCCGTGACTGAAAAGTTGTTTCCCTTTATGAACCTTATTTCAATCAAATAATGAGTTATCTTAAACAATCCATTAGGTTTCTGGGAGCTCTGTCTAAATTTTCATATGGATTAACCCATGTCAGTAATTTCAGGAACATCAACTGAGTCAAAAATCAAGTGGAGGACAAATACAAATGCTGCTATGTTTCTTATGTTTAATATGTCATCACAAGTTACCAGGAGAGTAGTAAAAAAGTCCAATTTTGATAAATAGCAGCATTTTCTGATTCTGAAAATTTCTTATTTTTATCTTAAGTCATCTATTCATTCATTTAACAATAATTTATTAAATCCCTTCTATAAACCAAACACTGCATTGTAGGAATACCAAAATAGAATTAGGATCCCTGACCTCTAGAATATGGGGCTCCTAATAGGTGACAAACACACATAAACAAATTATTGCAATTTGGTATGCTGACAGCTATGTTTAGTGTATGTGAAGGGGGCATGGAAACAGAAGTAGAAATCAATGGGCTTTAAAACCAGGCAGAATTCCCACTCAGCCATTTACAAATTATGTAATTTGGGGCAATTTGATTAATTCCTCAATTTTGTTTTCTGAAATATAGCTTGACAGTTTTTTGTGTTTGTTTTGTTTAATTTTAAGTTATTTATTTAAGCCATCTCCCACCAAAAGCTAAGAGATGGAAGATCAGCATAGTAGTCATCATTTGATACAAGTGAAGAAGGTGAGCTTAAGGTTCCCTGTACTTTTTCTGGTCTGTGTGCAGAGTAATGGTCCAAACCATTGCTTTGGTCCCCAGTGTCAGGGTAGTGGCCCAGATTCTCTTTATTCACTTTCATAGCTAGTTGGAGGCCGATTCACATGAAGGTTATGGAATAAAGTGTGGTTACCATCTCTGCAGGGAAAGGACTTGAACTTGATCGGGAGATGGGAGTAGGCAATGAACTCAATGAACTCAGGCCTCTCATGCTCTCTGTGGTGCGACTTCAGGAACACATTTAGCAAGCTCAGTCCCATCCCAGGAGCCACACAGTAGATGAGGGCATTCCACAGGTGAGCTGAGCCCTCCTTGCCTTGGGCACCACTCAACAGAGGCCCCCAGCTCTGGGGATGACTGGCTCAGCAGCTGAGAAGCCCAGCAGGCACAGCTGCCTCCATTTTCAACCTGGACCTGACTGTTTTTATGACTAATTATCTGATCTGTGTTTAGTCCAGTGCTCAGCAGAAACCCACCAAGTATCAGTTATCTTCCTTGCTGCCTTCTAAGCAAGGGTGACCCTTGATCTGGGCCTTGAAAAGAATTAGTTTGTCAAGTAGACACAATGAAATGGGTATGGGAGAAGGGTGGGATGATGGTAGAATAATATATACAAAAACATAATTTTCTCTCTAGAGAGTGGTTCCCTATTACTAGAGAGGTAATATAGAAGGAATACTCTTCTCAACTTTCAAGGGAAGTGTATAGTATACAAGGTTATAAAGAGAATTTGTTCTCAGATAAAAAAGGGTTTCGCCTATCATGCTATCTTGTAGGCAGGGAGGAGGCATTGAAAGATGATGAGTATAGTCTTCTTAATACATATTCCTAAGATTATGTTTTCATTAATGTGGTGACTGGGTTAGAGGTTGGGACAGGAAGGAGGATGGTAGAAGTTGTTCCTAGATCTTTTTGGTTGACTGTGGGGAGTGGGGGAATAAAATACAGGAATAATATGGAAAAAGTGAAGAGAGATAAACATTAACAAGGTAATATCTTCAGAAGGATTGAGTTTGGGGTGTGAGGACAAGGGGTAGTGTTAAGAAGTCCACTGTAGAATTTACTAGAAGTTTAGGGATATAATTTTAATGTAATCAAAATTGACAGATCCATGCTTTTATTTACCTTTAAATATAGTATTTTGGAGTAAGAGAGAGAAAATCAAACAATATGCTTAAAAGTAGAAGACTTGGTTAGGTGAATTAAAAGGAAAAAAACATTTTCAGTGATGAACTGTTGCTTATCATTTACAAATACTTTTTTACATTTTAAAACTAAACTACAAGTAGGAAAATGTCAGTTTCATGATAATTCCTCCTCTTTGAGTAGATTTTTATTAAAAAGTGTTTCCGAAAGTGAGTTTTGAAAAACAGCTCTTCCTTGGGTTGAAAGTAGTTATTTTATTAGAAGCAACAAAATGGATCCTTGGTCAGAGAAG
The DNA here is from genome assembly GCF_000001405.40 of Homo sapiens. Classification (NCBI taxonomy): domain Eukaryota; kingdom Metazoa; phylum Chordata; class Mammalia; order Primates; family Hominidae; genus Homo; species Homo sapiens. The sequence goes on along the minus strand of NC_000011.10, from coordinate 80,956,269 downwards.
TTTGGGAATTACTAGATCTCTTACATATAATCTTCTATGAGTTTTAGTATGGTATTATGCATTCTGAATCTTCAAATAGAAAATATTTCTCAAGCTCAATTTTCTTAGCTTTATTTAAGTATGACTGACAAATAGAATTGTTTAAATTTTAGGTTTACAATGTGATGATTTGACATATGCATAGATTTTGAAATGACTACCACAATCAAGTTAGTTAACACACGTATCAGCTCACCTAGTATATTAGTCCATTCTCACACTGCTATAAAGAACTTCCCTGAGACTGGGTAATTTTTAAATAGGAGAGGTTTAATTGACTCACAGTTCCACATGGCTGGGGAAGCCTCAGGACACTTACAATCATGGTGGAAGGGAAAGAGGAAGCAAACCTGAACGTTTTCACGTGGCGGTACGAACACATGTGGCATGAACGCAAGCAGGGGAAATGCCAGATGCTGATAGAACCGTCAGATCTTGTAAGAACTCACTCACTATCATGAGAACAGCATGGGGGAAACTTCCTCCATAATCCAATCAGTCTCACCAGGTCTCTCCCTAAACACCTGGGGATTACAATTCAAGATGTGATTTGGGTGGGGACACAAAACTTAACAGTATCACCTCGTTATCATTTATTTATTTATTTTTTTGTGGTGAGAACATTTAAGATCTATTCTCTTAGCAAATTTTAAGTGTACAATACAGTATTGTTAACTATAGTCACCATGCTATATATTAGATGCCCAGGATTTATGCATCTTGTAACTGTAAGGTTATACCCTTTGACCAAAATTGTTTAGCAATGGAATCTATTCTCATCTTACCCACCTTCGTCATTGTACATGTAATATTCTGAACTACAGACTTTAGGAAATGCTGTATTGTTGAGGTTTGTTTCTTTGCTTGGTTTTGTTTTTGCTTTCAAGTTGTATATATAGTGATTAAAAAATTAACAGGTAAAGAAGACTTTATGATAAAAAGTATTTTTATCCCCAGCCCTAGACCCAGAGGCAGTCTCTCTTGTTTCTGTTTTTAATTTTTCTAGTGACATTTTCTGCAACTGTAGATAATATATCTTATTAATTCATCAACTTTAGATAATGTCTATTGACTCCATTATATGAAGATAAGTATTCAGCTCACATGCCAGATTGCTGTTCTTCCTTTCTACTAATAACAAGGTTTGATATTTATATTACTGTTTTATCTTTTCCATTGATTACCATGGCAATCTAATATAATAATTTTATATCTGGTTCTATTCCATAAAGTTTTGATATTATCTCTTAATGCTATTTTTCCTTCTGCTTTCTGAGACTTATCATCTGATAGCTCCATTTTTATTTTTGTATGATCAAAATTCTTCATGTTTATCTTCTATAACCAAAGTCAATTCTTTGTGACTTTGTGCATTGCTTGAATACAAAAAGCCACAAAGTTGAAAATCAGTTAAGAGCATTTGCATTAGTATGACTAAATAAGTATCCTTCAGTGTTGGAACAAAAATAAATTTCCTTCTGTGGGAATCTAATGTCAAGACACTTTGGGCCGCCTAAAGGAAAATGTTCCCAGAAACACGTTTAAACTAATTCTAATTCTTTCTTTACTTTGCACTCTGTCAGTAGCCTGAAATCTATTGATATTTTAAATGACTTCATATTTGGGCCATTACCTGTTTTCATAATAATCATGGTGTTTTTTTTTTCAGACTTTCTAATTACATTTTTTATGTTTCTTTTGCATCATTTGTTTTTAAAATATTATAATTTCACTTGAGATCCCAATTATGTTTTCTATTCTATCAGTTGACTCCTCCTACCTCCATAGTACCTTTCTCCCTCCCCTGCATCTCTGTCTATTGAAGGCTTTTGTACCCCTGCACCAATAAGGCCTAGTGATTGTTAGTCTGATTACTCAGGCTTAATCCGAGGACTTCTCTTCATGGTTCTACTAGGCTGAATTCAGATTCTGTCTTTTATTTACCTTTTCATGTTTGTATAGTTACTACAGTATATCCTAAATCCTAAAGGAACTTTGTAAGGAAGTGTATTTGGAACATAAACTTTCTGAATACTTTCGTGTTTGAAAATAATATTGATTTATCATCATACTTTATTGATATTTTAGCCATGTATCCAACACTATGTGAAAATCAATTTCCCAAAAATATTAAAGATGTTGCTCCCATTGTTTTCTAGCATCTAGTATCATTAATGATTAATAGAAACTGATAAAATCTCATTCTTGTTGCTTTATATTCACTGTTTCTCCCACTTTCTCTCTCTCTGGAAGCATTTAGTATCAGTGCTTTGAAATTCACAAGGATCCACTGAAGGTTGGAATTTTGTTTTTCATTATTTTTATTATTTTTATGTACAAGTTTCTCAGTGGTCCTAGCAGTCTGATGATTTATATCTTGTCAACCACAAATAAATTATCATCTTTTCCTGTTTCATCATTTTCTTTCTATTTTTACTTTTGCTTCTTCCAAGGAATCCTATTGATATCATGTTGGACTTCTTGAATTGAGCCTCACTGTCTCTTATCCTCTTATTTTTTTCTATCTGTTTTTATTGCTATTATTATATATCTGAGAGATTTTCTTATCTTTACATTTAAGATCTTCTATTGATATTTCTTTTTAAATGTCTGTAATCATATTTTTAATCTCTGATAGTGATTTCTTGTACTTTCTTCCCCTCATCACAGCAGTTCTCATTTTATGGTTTTAATATTCTCTCAATTTCCTCTACATATATTAATTAGAAGGCTCTTTTAACTGTTGTATGTTTCTTAAATAATCTCTGCTTTTCTCCTCATGGTAAATATTTCTGTTTTGGATTTTTTGGTCATTTTCTATGATACTAAATTGTCTCACAAACATAATGATTCTGGGTTCTGTGTTCACATTTAATTGTATGGTTTCCATTGTTGTTAGATGATTAAGGCTGCTTTCCAGCTACAGTGATCCTCTCAGACTCAGGTTTGTAGAATTCCCAGAGATGCATTTTTTCAAAGGAACAGTTCATTATTCGGGGAAATAGGGGTGGGATAGCTAACTAGATGTCCTGGGAGAAAAAAAAATGTTTGGTCAGGATTATTCCTTGTTTTCCAGTTTCAGAGCTGTCTTTTGAAAGGATGTTGCTGTGACTAACATACTTGACAGTATTCCGTAAGTTTGTAGCTCTGCTGACTAGTCTAGAGAAACTTTATTATTACTAAATAGAAAATAAAAATAGTTGAAAATATTGAGTAAGAACAACATCAAATTAAATTTGTAACCCATGTATATCTACATTGGTGCAGAGAAGCCCCTGAGTCCATAGTCTAATTGTGAAAATATTATACTGAAAAAAGTTGAGATAACTGAGTTGTTCTCTTCTGATATCTTTTATTCTATTCTTTTTTTTTTATTTTGGTAAAAAAGCACACCCTGAGGCCGAACCTCTAAACAAATTTTTTCAGTGTTTTATTAACTACAAATACAGTGTTACTGAGAAGATCTCTAGAACTTTTTATCTTGCATACCTGAAATTTTATACCCAGTGAATAGCAACTCTTCATTTCTATCTCCCACAGCCCCTTGTAACCATTATTCTACCCTATGCACCTATGTGTTTAACTACTGTAGATACCTTATATGCATAGAATCATGCAGTATTTGTCTTTCTGTGAATAGCTTATTTTACTTAGCATAATGTCCTCAAGGTTCATCTATGTTGTCACATAAGGCAGAATTTTGTTATTATAAGGCAGAATTTTGTTATTTTAAGGCTGAATAATATTTTGTTCTATTCATATGTATGTATATGCCACATTTTCTTTACCCATTCATTCATTGATGAACATTTAGTTTGCTTTCATGTCTTGACTTTTGTGAATAATGTTTCAATAAACACAAGAATGTAAATATCTCTTCAAGATCCTGATTTTTATTCTTTTGGATAAATATTCAGAAGGGGGATTGTTGAATAATAAAGTAATTCAATTTTTATTTTTTGAGGCACTTCTATTTTTTACAGTGACTGTACCACTTTACATTCCCACCAACAGTGAGCAAGGGTCCTAGTTTATCTATATCTTTGCCAACACTTCTTATTAATTTATTTATTACTACTACTATTATGACCATTCTAACAGTTATGAGGCAATATCTCACTGAGATTTTGATTTGTACGTTCCTGATAATTAATGACGTTGGGAGTCTTTTTCTATACCTGCTGGTAATTTGCATATCTTCTTTGGAGAAATGCCTATTCATGTTCTTTGTCCAATTTTTAATTAGTTTATTTATTCATTTTTGGGTTTCATTGTTGTTGTTGTTTTATCTTGAGTTGTATGAGTTGAGTTCCCTATGTTTTGGATATTAACCCCTTATCAAATATGTAATTTGCAAAACTACTTTTCCCATTTCGTGGTTTGCCTTTTCACTCTGTCATTTCCTTTACAATGTAGTAGCTTTGTGTTTTTATATGGTTCACTTGTCATTTTGCTTCTATTATTGTTGTTGCCTATGCTTTCAGCTAAGAAATCATTGCTAAGACCAACATCAAGAATGTTTTTCCTTATGTTGTCTTGTACGAGTCTTACAGTTTTAGGTCTTACATTTAAGTTTTAAATCCATTTTGAATACATTTTTGTGTATGGTCTAAGACAAAGATTCAATTTTATTCTTTTGCATGTAGATATTTATTTTTTCTAGGACTGCTTATTGAATAGACTGTCCTTTTCCTATTTTGTATTCCTAGAACCCTTGTTGAGGATCAGTTGGCTGTATATGCAGGGATTTATTTCTGGGTTCTCTGTTCAGTTCCATTGGTCTATATGTGTATTTATGCTGGTACCATACTGTTTCATTTTCAGTACCTTTGTAATATATTTTGAAATTAGGAATATAATTCCTCTAGTTTTGCTCTTAGTTTTCAAGATTGACTATCTGGGGTCTTTTGAGGTTCAACATAAATTTTAAGATTTTTTAAATTCTATGTCTGTAAAATGGGATATTGTGATTTTGATGGGAATTACATCAAATCTGTAGATCACTTTGGGTAGTATAAACATTTTAGCAATATTAAGTTTTACAATCAGTGAACACTGGCTGTCTTTACATTTATTTGTGTCTTTTTAAATTCCTTTTGTTAATATTTTTGTAGTCTGTTATTTCTTCCTCATTTCAAATGGATAGTTTTGCCAGGGATAGTATTCTTTGTTGGTGATATTTTTCTTTCAGCACTTTGAACATATCATTCCATTCTAGTCTGGCCTGCAAGTTTCCTGCTGAGAAATCCACTTTTAGTGTTAAAGAAGTTTCCTCGTAAATGGCAAATTACTTTGTTCTTGCTACTTTCAAAATTATCTTTTTGTCTTTGCCTTTTGAAATTTGATTACTGATTACAGTAGTTCTTTTCAATCTGTGGAGGATATGTTTCATTCCAAGACCCCCAGTGGATGCCTGAAACTGAACCCATTTGCCATCAGATAGAACACATTTCTGTTCATGTCTTCTACCTACAAATTTCATGTCTTTTCATCTTAACTAAGCACTTACCATGCACTGTGTTATAATTTTTGCAGTTTGAGTTGGGACAGTAAAACTAACACAATTTTTTTTTTTTCCCTGCAGTTTCATAGATAGAAGACTTGTTCTTACGATAGATCTTAGCAACCTCAGTAAACTTTTTTTTTCTTTCCTTAAGTTGAGAACTTTCACCTTTTTATTTAAAGGAAGTACTTCATGGCTTCTCTTCAGCATATCCGATACCAGCATCACTGCTCTTGTGCCTTGGGGCTATTATTAAGTTAAATAAGGATTACTTGAACACAAGCATCATGATACCACAACAGACAATCTTATAATCTTGGCTACTAGGTGACTTATAGATGGGTACTGCAAACAGTATGGATACACTGGACCTAAGGATGATTTATATCATGGTGGGAGAAAGCTAGATGGCATGGATTCGCTCATACTGCTCAAAATGGCACACAATGGAAAACATAAAGTATTTATTTTTGTAATTTTCCATTTAATAGTTTTGAACCATGATTGAGCATGAGTAACTAAAGCTGCAGAAATCAAAACCATAATTAAGGGGGAACTACTTTAAAATATGTCTTTCCCATTTGAAATTTTTCAGATTCTTGAATTAGGATGTCTAATTCCATTTCTATATTTGGGAAGTTTTTAGCCATTTTTTCTTTTTTCCCTTTTTTTTTTTTTTTTTTTTTTTTGAGACAGGGTTTTACTCTGTCACCTAGGCTGGAGTGTAGTGGTGTGAATATGGCTGACTGCATCCTCAACCCTGTGGGCTCAAGTGATCCTCCAGTCTCAGCCCCTAAAGTAGCTAGGACTACAGGCATATGCTACCACATCTGGCTAATTTTTAATTTTTTTTTCTTTTTTTTTCTCTTTTTTTCTTTGTTTTTGTAGAGGCTGATCTCAAACTCCTGGGCTCAAGTGATCCTCCTGCCTCACCCTCACAAAGTGGTGGGGTTACAGGCATGAGCCACCATGGCTGGCCCATTATTCTTTAAATATTCATGTGACACTTTCTCTCTCTCTTCTCCTTCTGGAACATCCGTAATGAGTATGTTGGCTCACTTAACGTTGCTTTGTTGCTTTATTCCCTCTCTTTCATTCTGCCTTTTTTTTTTTTTTGCTTTTCGTGTAATTTAAATGACTGTTTTTGAGTTCACTGATTTTTTTTCTTCTGCTTGACCAAGTCTGCTGTTGAACTGTTAGTTAACATTTTAGTTCAATTATCATATTCCTCAGCTCCAACATTTCTGTTTGTTTTCTATTTATTTGTTGACATTATTTTTATTATTTTTATTTTTTATTTATTTTTTAATTTTATTATTATTATACTTTAAGGTTTAGGGTAGTGTTGACATTATTTTTAAATGTATGGTTTCCATGAGTTTGTTGAACATCTTTATGATGGTTATTTTGATATTTTTTGTCAGGTAATTAGTATGCCTCTGTTTGTTCTATGTAAGTTTCTGCAGATTTATTTTGCTTCTTTATTTGGGCCATGTTTCCCTGTTTCTAGGTGGACCCTGACAATTTAGGTTAATGTCTGTGCATTTTAAAAAAAACAGCCACCTCTCCCAGCCTTTATGGACTAGCTTCATACATGAATGAATTGGTGAATTGATCTTCACTAATTAGTTGAACTAGAGATCATAGGTGCCTCTCAAGCCTTTCTGTGACTGTATCTTATCTGGAGATATGCATTTAAATTCCTAATTAGAGAAATTTGCTGATTTAGTTTTCCAGGAGTTCATAATCTCTTACTCTCTGTGGCATCTGTCTGCTGTGTCGCAGGTTCTCTGAAGCAGCAGCACACCATCCAGCTGGTTTTTGTTGTCGCTGTTCTCAGTAACATCCAGGCATCTACAGTAGGCCATGTCTAGTTAGCACTCAAGACAGGCAAGACATAAATCAGTTCATTATGCATACATTGGACATATGTTTCCATTGGATATATGTTTCAGCCTTCTCTTTCTTTCTCCAGGGATAATCTATGGGCTCTGAGCTTTCCTAATTGTGCCATGCTAAGCTGGGGTGAGAATTTCTGGCAAGTGAATACATACTAATTCAAGCCTTTTATTTTGTTTTAAGTGACTGTCAGGCATCCAGAGTTTGTTAGATATTGTCAGTGCTCCATGACAAACAAAACAGAAGCCAGTCCGTTGGGCAGCCTCTTGAAAGCTGGAATGTTGGAGGGATGCTCCACTGCTCTTCATCCCTTCTGTGGAGAAGCCTCCTGTTGCACCCTTTCCTAGTCACACAAAGCCATGCCAGCCACAGCAAACCACTTAGCACTTTGCTTTGTTCTTAGCATCCTCCAGACATTGAAGCTGCACCCTTACCATTTATACTGTAAGTGAGTTAGACAGAAACAGTTCTGGCTCCAAAATGCTAGAACATCAGATACACACTCGACTTATTTTTCTCCCTGAGGAAGAAGTCTTGAGTTGGGTGTTTTCTCTTGGTGCCCAGCTAAGCTGGCTTCGGGGAGGGGCTGACACAAGTAAAGTGGAATTATTATTCTTACCCATTTTCATGTAGCTCTTCTGGGCTTTATGCTTTTTTGGGGTCCTACAACTTCTTAACTGGATTCTGGAGTTCTCATAAAGGTGTTTTGGTCCCTATAACATTGTTAAATCAGCATTTCTTTGGGGGAATGAAGCCTGGGACTTACTATTCCCACCATCTTCTTGGTGTCACTCCCCTGATAATATCTTATAATTATTTCTATTATTGCCCTCAACTTCTATGTTATAATTATTTGTTTAATTACTTATATTCCCATTTTTTTTAAAACTATGAACATCTTGATCTGCATGTCATATTCATTTTTGAGTCACTAGTGTCCTGCATACTGAAGAGTATGTGGCAGATACTCAGTGTTTGTTAACTGAATGACCAAATTAATAAGCCAACGAATAAGTGAAGACTTGAGTTTTCCACTTAACTACTCTTTGACCTCAGTCAAGGCATTTCGCCTATCTGACCATCAGTTTCCTCATGACAGTGTGGAGATAAAATTTATTCACATGTATTTATTCTCAGAAGTTTTATAAATCCCTAATACTATTAAGATATACTTCTGCTTTTCGAAAATTGTCTGTACTATAGATACATAACTATTATTATTTTTCCATTGTCATAATTATAATCTTATCACCATCATTACCATTACCATCACTTTATATCAAGCAAGAATCTATTTCTATCACCTCAAATCTCTCTCTTTGATAATAATTTCCAAGTTTACCTGATTAATGCAGATTTTTTTATTTTCTAACCTTCAATCAGTTATTATGCAAAAAATTCTTATTAAGATTTCTGAAAAAAATATAAATTTATTGAAATATAATGATGCCCTTATGTCATTGTAGAAACTCTACATGGCTTTAATGCAATACTGCATTTAGAAGATTTTATAAATAGTGAGTGGTTAACATAAAAAGTAAACATTTCTGTAATCTTTTATACTGTTTAAAATACTTTCACACAAATTTATACAATTTAATAATCATAAGTAACCTGTGATAGGGTTAAGATATATTACTACTCCAATGTAAGTGATGAGGAAACTGAAAATGTGAAAGGGTAAGCAACTTGTCCACAGTTAATCAATAACAGAAGTGATAACAAAACTCAGATTTACAATCCCCTAATTCAGTATTATTTTATCATATGATACCTATGCATCCAGATTCCAACTTTGCCACCACTTTTGCTATTACCATTTATAACAGTAAAATTTCATCTTTAAAAAATAATAAGAGAAGCAGAATTTAGAAAAAAATCAAAGGCACTTGGTATCTTTCAACTTATCCACCAGCTGTTCTTGCTTCTAATTTATAAAATGGTGTTAACTGGACCCCCAAATAACAAGGCTTTAGTGACAGATTGGAATTGCTCATTCTTTTCCTTAGCCAATTTTTATTCCTTGGCCAATGAACTAATTATTGAAGGGAACTTAGTTATGTTTTTCCCAGTTCACTTTTAGACAATAATCAAAGAAGCAGGAAGAAACGTGATAGAGTCTAGGGACAGTTATCGTAACTATTTTGCTTGCAGCTTAAAAGACATACAAAAAGGCAAAGTGGTGGAAAATGGGTGTTACTTTCCACAGGCAGAACATTGCTCAACTTATATGGCCAAAGAGCAAACTCATTTATGTGGAATCATTGTCTCCAGCAAGATCATTAAAGAAAATAACTTCTAGACCAGATGGAAATGTTAGAGAGTCAGACCTAAATTAGGGGAAACCATTGGCTACATGTGAATTCCAAGCTATATGAAAGAGCCTAATCTGATTACGTGTTTGGAAAATTGCTTTTGCAGTGAAATTTAGAACACACACAGAGACAGATAGCTTTGATAGGATACTGAGAGTTTGTCTCTGAGGGTTGACTCAAGAGTTACATTAGACCACCCGACTTAACCAGCTCTCTCTTTCCGTTTAAAGAATAACTACCTTTGTTGAGCTATTTTTATGTTCTAGAATGTGTTGGGTGCTTTGTATATGTTACATCGAATCCTGGGAACAGACATAGAGTTTGATATGAAGAGAGGCACTGAGTACTATGACTAAAAATAACAATTTTGATAATAAAAATAATTGTTAGAATACTTGTTGTAAACTTATTAAGTGGCAGCCATCAGTTTTTAACCTTCAAAACAGCTCTTTGTTGTAGGTGCTATTATTTGTATCCCTACTTAACAGGTAAGGAAACAAGCCAAAGAGATTAAGTAACTTGCCCAAGATTATATTTACTAAGGACTCAGAATTTGAACCCAAGCAATCTAGTTCTAAAGCCTGCACTACCAATCATGATGCTAGACTGACAAGAACTGAGGAGTATAGACTATCTTACCACAAAATAGGAACTTGATAATAACTTGTATAAATAAGTTAAATAAAAATCCTTAAATTCACTCAGGAAAACGTGGAGGGAGGAAGGAAAAAAAGAAGGAAGGATGGAAGGAAGGAATGAAGAGAAAAGTTGCCAAAAGTTACTCTATCTCTCTGACCACAAACTGATGTCAGATTTTCCCTAATAGATAACATGTCACAAAGTCAGATCTACGTCTGGCCATATTGATAAGCCTATGAACATTCCAAATGTTGAACTTAAAGATGGCTTCTATACAGTGGATGTCCACAAGGCTAGGAATAAAATAATCTAGGCTAACATTTCATAGAGTGGTATGCATACAGAAAGGGCCAGGTGAGTCCTGGAATACAAGTTACATCTTCACAGCTGAAAAACATAAAAAGATAGACACATATGTACCTCTCTGCACTGTTTTTTCTTTTTTAGCCTAAAGTTTTTGGTAAATCAATTTTTTTTGTATTTTATTTAGAAATAATTTCAAACTTACAGAAAAGTTGCAAGAATAACAACAGTACAAACAACACCTAATATCTTTTTCTTAAAGTAATCTGTTAACATTTTACTCAATTTGCTTTATCATTTGTGCTTCAATGTGTATTTCCTAAGAGCTGAGATAATCTCTTATATAACCAGAAACAATCCAAAATATATGAACTATGATAACACTTTTGACTAAACAGACATGCATGATGAGAAATATTAAATACTTATTCTTTGATGTTATTTTGTTATGGAAGTTGTTTAATAAACCAAGTACAATGTGGAGCAGAAGCACATTCTCAGGCTTTTATCAAGCAACAGACTGGGCCAGGAGACATGAAGGCTGAAATCTAATGTGTTATATGAAATGAATGAGTTGTCAGTCTGACTCCTCCGAGAATCAGATGCCATGACATGATTAAACATGTGATCACCATATTAGGGGAAAGGATTGTATGACTGGAAGTGTGAGGGAGCTGGAGAAGAGTCAGAGAGCCATCAGCCTGAGATACAAGTCTGAGTTTGAGTGAAGGAGAGTGGGAGTAAAATTTAGGTAAAAGTGTCTTAGACTCCTATGCAGGCTGAGTTAGGTTCTGCAAAGCCTTTGGGGAGTTCTTGAGCCAAAGTAGTCATCAGATAGATCAGATATTTCCCAGAAATAGATCTGCGTTAGTAGCTCCACTTTACTCAGCCTCTGGCTGGGAACAGCTGAATGGGAGGCATATTCTTAGCACAAACAGAGATTCCAAAGCCAGTAGCAGGACCGGAGGTCTGTCATGCTTCCTCCTCCTTATAGCAGAAAGTCTTCTTGTCCCATTCTAATTACTCTCTTGACTTTTCTGAATATCAGGTTTCTGCTATCAAACAAGTTTAATCACACTGATCTTCCTCTTCATAGATATGTTTGATAAACAAAATGATATGGATAAAAGCACTTTGTAAAAGTCAAAATTCTATACCAATCTAGAAATCTTGTTCTTATTGTTATGAGAAGTATCCCAAAAGCTCAGCTGATGCAAGGAACTGGGAATAAAGCAATCTCCACAATGCAGTATCTGCACTTGGCCACTGCTTGCCCAGAAGATTAACCTCAAGACCTTTTATTGAACATATCTCTGACTTCTTCTTGACTATCTCTTTCAAGGTGGTTTGCCCTAGGTTACAACTCTTGAGAAAGAAAATGCTCTACTGCAGAGCAATAATGATAGTACAGAAATAATTATGCTTAGGAAGGGCCTGCAAAAATATATGATTATGTCTTCATAAGTATCTTATGATCTCATTTAAAAGCTTTCAAAGCAAATTATTAATAGTTGAGAATCTTTCTGTGCCTCACAGGGGGAGTTTTGTTTGTTTGCTTATTTGCTTAATTGAGGTTGAAATATAAGCAGTAACACTATATCCATAGAGGTGCTGTGATACAATGAGAGAAAGCACAGTTTTTGTTGCTCAGAATTCATGAATCCTGGATAGATTGTTTAAACTATCTAAGCTTCTATTTTCTCATATCTAAAATGAAATAAATAATATATACACATTCTATAACTTATATGAGCAATAGATACAGGCAAATTGTCTAACAGTTTCTGAACACATAATAAATATAGTAAATGGTGGTCACCATTATTCAATAAAGAAATGTCTGTTAAGTACCTACTAAGGATTAGTTGCTGTGCTAGATGCTGAGCATACAGTAGTAAATAGAAGAAGAAACTGTCCTTGCCTTCAAGAAATCTACAGTCTAATGAGGAATACAGACAAAGAGGCTATTTCTAAACAGCCTTTGATGGAGTGAGAACAGGCAACATGGGAATATATAGGTGGGACACTAATACAACATTGGAAAATCAAGGAAGTCATAGTGAGGAAAGACATTTAAGAAAGACCTAAGCCTAAGTAGAACTCAATCAACCAAAAGAGAATGGTAAGAACAGAGGAGAATTCTCAGCAGAAGAATCTGCATTTCTAAAGGCTTGGAGGCAAGAGCAAGCATAGTAAATTCAGGAAACTGGAAGAAAATCCTGTTGAAGATTGGAGGTGGGAGAGTAGTGGGGAAACAAGTGTGTGGTGAAAGCCTTTGAAATCCAAGTTAAGGGATTTTTATTGCTAGCCCATATCCATATCCAGATATTGACACAAAGCAGAGACTAAGAAATTGTTGAAGAAAAGGTATTATTTTTATCATGCTATTATATTCTTGAGATTCCCATTACCTTTATTCCAACGGCTTCTTTGAAAAGTGTATGTCACACAGAAACAATTCTCCCTGAAAGAGAATATTACATGTAAAATTTTCCAAAGTGGTATAAGTGTTACAAAATCTTTAAAGGTAGAATTATAATTTGAGTTTAGTATTTACTTCCAACAAATTGAATGGATTTTCTCAATTATCAAGTTCTAGTTTTCTCATGGGACTGTCAATTTCAGTTTCTTGTTAATTAAGAAAGTCTAGGAAAAGATTCCAAGATAGTGTTTAGTTGGACCAACTCAAACCTACATGATCAGAGGTTAGAGCACACAGACACACACATGAAATCTTTCCAAAGCAGTTGTTTGAAGTGGTCCAGAAAGATCCACAAGCCACAACTTAGATCAAAGAAAAATTAGGGGTAATCTCCAAGTTAAGCTGAATTCCCCATAAGTATTTGTGGCAATTTGCATGTTTGAGGTTTGAGGAGACACGAATAATCAAGTGAGATGAAAACTGTGAAGTCCAAAACTGTTTACTGACAGAGCTTATTTCACTTTTCTCATGCCAGAGAGATGAAATGATTTCCTCTGGTTTTCTTTAAACTCTTGATCAACTTCAGAAAAGGACAGCTGGATAATCCCCACAGACAAGAGGAATTACTAACTCACCAGAAATACATAGACATGGGGACAGCAGTGTTGTTCTGAGTGCTAGCTATGTGACTGGTTGGTGTATCTGGCTATCAATGTCCATTTGTAAACTTTGCCTTTTGGACTTTTATATTAATTGATACCCTATGTTCCATCATCTCTGATCCACATCTGTTCTAATGAAGGGACTATGTAGAAGACTAACTAAGACTTGTGCATCAAATGAATATTTTAAAGGCTAGTCAATTACTTGTATGTTGAGCCATTTTTTTAAGCACATGTTTTCAATCGGGTAAACAGAGCCAGGTCCAACCATCGCGGGTTATAGTGGAAGTGTCAGTTTTTACAGTATAAGCATTGCACAACAAGGAAATGATGGCACCACATAGGAAGAAAAGCAAGGGCAGTCCAATATGGGGCAACTCAGCTTTGAAAAAGTTCGTTCCCTACTAGAAATATGCCCTGATCAGGATTCATTCTGACAGGATTGTGCTTGGGAGGCAGACAGACACATCTGAGCGTAGACCTCAGCTTTGCCACTTCTCAGTTGTGTGGCCTTTTGTGAGCTATTTACCTAATATTTTCAGCTATGGTGGCCTCACCTTTGAAATGTAGAGAATGATATCTAATTTCAGATTTATTCGAGAGTTCAATAAGATCATACATGTAAAATACCTAGTATGCTAGTCATTTATTTTATGGTATTATAATCTATTATTGTTACTATGATTATTATAATTATTAATACTAATATTAGTTATAGAAACATCACTTGATATATTTTATTCATTTAGCTGATACTCGAACTCTCTAAGTTCAGTTAGTTTGCCATAAAATTATCTAAATGCATAACCCAATCCATAATGTAAACAGTTGCAGTTTATTGGTAGAAAACTTACACACAGAGACACACATAAACACACAAACACACATAATTCTGGAACATAATATTCAGGTAAGGTGGATACATAAATTACAGCACAATAAAATTTTGAAATGTGAACAAAGGTAAGAAATCAAACAAAGGTAGGAAATCACAGATAATAGAATAATTACCTTTCCCTCCTGTAATAAAAAGATACTCAAGCTATAGAGATAACATTAAAGCTTAAGGTGTGTATTGGTGGCCTTTTAATTGTATATAGTTCAAGGAATAATTCCTTTTTTTCTGGTGTAATTTTAAACACAGTTATCTAAACATAAAAAATCTGATAGTTGAGTTATTAATTAGATAAGGTATTTCTTGAATGGTGTAAAAGAAATCAAGCAAACAAACAAAAATTTAGATTATTTTCCTCCTGGATTTTCTCCTTTGAGAATCCTCATTAAGTAGATATTTGAAAAGAGTGGATTCGAAAGACTGTTCATTCACTTTTTCTCATTTGCTAAACTAGGTCTAAATTTTCTTTATCAATTTACTTTATGTATTACATCAAAATACATGTAGTCATTAACTAGAGGTTTTAAAAAGAGTATAATAATATGGACAAAGGCTTATCTAACAGTAATATTCTATAGTAAAGTAATCAAATTAAATTTTTAGGAATCTGAAAACTTCTCATGACAGGGCTGATACATTAAAAATGTATAGTTTATTTCTCATTGTACGAGGGCATTTCCCTAAATTATAATGTTAATTTAGCACTGTAATATAGTTATTCTATGCTATAAATATATTATTAGTTTAATCAATTTAATTTCTTTTCTTAACTTTGTATCCTAGGATGTATTTAACTTAAATGAAAAACTCCTCCCATGGAATAAGGAGAATAAGGCAAAAATGCCCTAGGTAAATGAGAAACATTGAATACTAATTTTCTGTAAAGACTACCAATACAACTTAAACATTTGTGGAATTTCTGCTAAGTCAGTAATAAAGTGCGATGTCACTACACTTTGTAACCAGAAAGACTGAATAAAGCTTGCTGAATCCACTTACCTAAACTGAGTCATATTAGCAAGTATTTATTGAATGTCTAATTTGTGAAAATCAATGTTCTGAAACTACGAAGGATGCAAATGTAGAGGAGAGGGCAGTTCTCTTCTTCCAGATGTTTTAAATTTAGATAAAAAGGAATGTCTTCTCTCTAGGCATTGGTAAAAAAACAAACAGAGAACAATATACAATCTACTGTTAAAATTGTATGGTAAAGGTGATAGTGTAGAGTGCTATAGGTGGCACTGACTTCAGAGAGGGGAACTTTAGAGATGATGTTAGATAAAATTAGGCGTGTTTAAGAGAGATGAACCCTCCAGACAGTGGCACAATGGGAACACAAGCAAGAAGCCAAGCGGCAACACGTCTGCAATAATATTGTATGGGAACTTTACTACATAGCACAAGTTTTGTTTTAGGGAGTGTTGCATAAGGCTTAACTTATTAATTCAGTCACTTATTGCCTACTTTTAAACTTCACCAGTGAAGGCTATGTTTAGAGGAGAAAATTAACATCAGTTAGCCCACAAATTTTATAGCCTCTTGAGAGCTGGGTGTGTAGAAATATCCTTTTAATTTTTTTCTTTCCCACAATCTTAAACATATTATGGTCACATAATAAGCATTCTACAGAAATGCATTCAACAAAATTGAGATGGCCCTGCTTACTTACAGGTTGTCTACAAAGTCAAGTGTGTAAAATGTTATTAAGTTAAATAGTTCATTTGTCTCAAAAGGTCTGCTTATATGCAGAGGAACAGAAGTCTTTGGTAGGTTTTGTCTGTTGGTTTTATATTTTATTGAAAGCATTTAACTATATTTCAGCAAGGTAAACATAAAAGAAGGTTAAAAGGAGTAGTTTTCTAGATGGCTAGGTAGCTAGTATTTGACAGTATAAATTGAATCTGTTCCTTATCTCATAAAGGCAGGAGACACTGAGAATGAGTGAAGAAAATTGGACTTCTAAAATGATGAAATATTCAATAACTCTACTGGGACAAAAATCTTGTTTTTCATAACTTGATTTCTAACCAAATTTATGTTATGTGAAAAAAAAACTGCATAGAAAACACTTCAGTCTCCTATTTCATTTTGAAACATATTAATAATAACAAAAACAATGGCAGCACAACTGCAACCATTATTTGGGTTTCTTCAATGTGTCCATTTTCTTCTAAGTGTTTTGCATGTTACCTGGACCCTTTACAATGACCCTATTTTCTAGACAATGAAAGTGAGGCCGAGAAAGGTCAACAAATGCCAGAGGTTCTCAGCAAGCATGGGGAAGTGTCTTTTTCAAATCCAAGGTCTGCTGGATCCCAAAACTCATGCTTATTCCCAATCAATATTTCTCAACATTTAATTATCATCTTAATGAGTTCTACTGTAGATAGAAATCACCTGAACTGTCTTTTTTAATTGTGATAAAGTGCACATAACATAGAATTTAATATTTTAGCCTTTTTAAAGTATTCAATTCAATGGCAGTAAGTGCATTCATATTGTTGTGCAACCATCATCATCCATCTTCTGGACTTTTTCATCAACCTAAACTGAAACTGCAAATCCAATAAACAGTACCTCTCAAGTACCTCCTCTCGCCAGGCTCTAGTAACCACTATTTTACTTTTTGTCTCTATTAATTAGACTATTCTTGGTACCTCATATAAGCAGAATCATACAATATGTTTTTTTCTTTTGTGTCTGGCTTATTTCAAGTTTCATTTATATGGTAGCATGTATCAGAATTTCCTTTTAAAGGCTGAATACTATTTTGTTGTTACGTATATGCCACATTTTGTTCATCCATTCATCCATCATAGACATCTGGGTAATTGCTACCTTTGGCTAATATAAATGATGATCTATGTACATGATTGTACATATATCTGTTTAAATCCCTGATTTCAATTATTTGGGGTATATTCCAAAAAGTGGAATTTCTGGCTCATATAGTAAACCAAACTATTTATTATTTGCTTAAAATATTTCCAAAAATCACCTCATATAAATTAAATAAGTAAGTTTAAAGGATACTTTATTGTCATTGATATAGTTAGAATAGACTTGGTTATACTGAAGTAATAAACAATTCCAGGCTGGGCATGGTGGCTCACACCTGTGTGCTTTGGGAGGCCAAGGTGTGAGGATTGCTTTAGGCCAGAAGTTTGAGACCAGCCTGGGTAACATAGCAAGACCCCATGTTTATAAAAAAAATTTAAAAATTAGCTGGGTATGACGGCACACATCTGTAGTCCTACCTATTTGGGAGGCTGAGGCAGGAGGATTGCATGAGCTCAGGAGTTTGAGGCTGCAGTGAGCTATGATGTAGACCCTGTTGTTTAAACAAAATGTCTAGAATGAAACTGTATATATTGTGCTTATTCTTGATATCCCAGGGGAATCAGTGAGAGGAGGGGGAATTCTACTGTATGAAGTCAGTCAAGGATCCAGGCTGACAAAGACTCCAATATTCTTAGCAACAGAAAGAACAGGAGAACTTCTCAGTTGTTATAGCAAAAAAAGATATTTCTGAAATGTCTCATGAAGGCAATTACTGGCTTTATCCTAGGAATGACTCACATAATGTCTCAGCTCCTTGGTGAGAAATAGTCACATAGTTCTGACAGATTACAAAGGTTGGTGGGCTAGGACGTGGGGAATAAATACCTCTAGAGGAAGAAGAGAAAAGCTTAAGGAGCGGGTATTATAAGTCTCAACCAAAACGTGAAACCAACATTACTTTCTTTACAGGTTATAACACAAAAAATTCATCTATAGCTGTTAAAAAAAAATTTTTTCTATCTAAATTCATTTAAATTATCACCAGAGGTTTAAATGCTGCCTTAGAGAAATGAAGTCCAATCATTAAGGATAGTCTTTTATTGGTTACCTCCAAATAAGACAAACTATTCTAAGAAGTAAAAATAAAATAAGGGAATTTGGATGAAGAGGGAATGTTATTGAGAAGAAGAAAATAGTTCATTTGCTTATCAACTTACACAAATATTTATTGGCTATTAAGTACTACTCTACGTGCTGAGAATACAATAGAAAGAAATGGTCCCCTTCGAAGAACTTGACTGCTTAGCAAGAAACACAGACATTAAAATGAAAAATAGGCCAGCCGCAGTGGTTCATGCCTGTAATCCCAGCACTTTGGGAGGCCAACGCTCGTGGATCACCTGAGGTCAAGAGTTCAAGACCGGCCTGGCCAACATGGAAAAACCCCATCTCTACTAAAAATACAAAAATTAGCTGGGTATGGTGGTGGGCGCCTGTAATCTCAGGTACTCAGGAGGCTGAAGCAGGAGAATCACTTGAACCCAGGTGGCAGAGGTTGCAGTGAGCCGAGATTGTGTCACTGAGCTACAGCCTGGGTGACAAAGCAAGAACACCATCTCAAATAAATAAATAGATAAAATGAAAAATAATAGATGCAGTGATTATTATACAGGAGTTTTGGTGAATATAATCAAATATACCTAAAGTAGCAGGGGTAGGGTTCAAGAAAGTCTTTGATGTCGACATAAAATTTAAATAATGAAGATGTGTCAGAGTCAAGAAGATTGTTGGGGGATGATTATTTCAGGCAGAGGAAATACCCTGTCAAAATTCCTGAGAGTGGGAAAGAGCAATGCAAATTTAAAAATAGTAAACAAATCCGGAATTTCTGGAATATATAGAACAAGAAAAAGTGTAAATCATGAGACAGAGATGTCACTGTATAACGTGCTCTTAGAAGAAATGACTCCTATTATGTAAGGGTGAGATGTCTTGCTTCTATGTTGTTAAGTAATTAAATGAAGTCCACGAGAGCGTAAATAAGAACCTCACTGTTTGTACAAATCTCAGCCTGCATCTGAACCCAGTTTTTGTAATTCCACTGGCTGTGTTTCCTACAACTCCACAGCCATCATCTAAACTGAATATCATAGCAGAATTTCTTTCCTTTTGAGAAATATTGTAGGAAAGTAAAATCTAGGTTATAGGACTAAGCAGTTGCTAAAGGTTGGGGAAAAAATCTTCAAAAGATTTCATTAAAAAGCATGAATTATAACATGGCTAATGAATTATAATGATTTAAAATTATTCACTCTTGGTAACTGTGAGAAACATAAAACAATGAGATATTTTGTCATTTTCAGTTGGCTAGTTTTGTTGTTGGTGGTGATGCTTTTGCCTTTTTGACCTCTTAAACACAGAAATTTTAAACATTAGGGAGAATGTTAATTCACGTAACTTTTTTGGATTGTAATTCTTATCAAGAACCATATAGTATATTTCAGTCTTTTTCACCAAGTAATTGTTCCCAGAAATGTAATCCAAATAATCAGATATGTATATAAAAATTTAAATTATGTGTATCTAAATCTGTCTGTCTAATCTATATTCAAACATTGCTGATAGTGCCAAATTAGAATAACCAGATGTTTTTTGTTCACAAATTTATGAAATTGTGAATAGACAGTACAAATCATACTATAAAAGAAAATCAAGTGTAAATAATAATTGTTAAAAATTGTTAGTTTGTGCAAAAACCCTTAAAATAGTATGCAGGGTATAAGATCAACTGTATGAATGGATTTGTATGTAGAGTTAAATTCAAAGGCCATATACCAAAATGTTAACATTTGTTGTTACTGTAGGAATTTTGACTTGCTTCCTTAGACTTTCCCCCTTAATTTTTCTACAAGTATTAGGTTGGCGTGAAAATAATTGTGGTATTTGCCACTGAAAGTAATGGCCATTTGAAATGCCACTGAAAGCAATGGCAAAACAAACAAACAAACAAACAAAACAATTATTTTCGCACCAACCTGATAACATTAATTACTTTTACCAAACAGTACTTGGTTAGAAATCATGCTTATTACAGAGGGCTAGATAAAAAATGATAAAGCAATTGCATGATATATAGTGTTAAAAATGTTTAAAAGAAATGTTGATATTCTGGAATAAATTCAGAGGACCGTAAGCCTTTTAAAACAATCTCCATGCTGTTTATATATGCATATGCTACTATGTATACATGTGCCAAACTCCATTCCTTTCCTTCATGAATCTTTTCCTTGTTTACTCTACTCCTTCTAATAGGATCTGTTTATGGCTCCATCTTAGCTTGTTTCCATTGTCAACTGGACTACAATACAACGACACCACCTCCCAATAGACAGAGTGGTTGGAAAAAAAAAAAAAAACACCTGAAATGAGTCAAGCCCACCTAATTATCTTTTCTGCTATTTGGGACTCCAATTTATTCCTAATGAATTGAATATTGAGGCTGTGAGAAGCCAGAGCTATGGTGGATGTACATGTACCAAAGGGGAGAAGGGGTCTGCAGAAGGAGAGAATGGATGAAGTGATGGGAGAGAAACATGATGAGCAGCAGGAGAAATCTGAGTTCCTGCTTTACAGTTCCTGATTCTAGGCTTCATGAATCCTACCTAGCCCATGAAATATCTATATCCTCCCAATTCTGTATCCTATATCCAATTCTCCTTTTGGATTAAACTACTTTGAGTGTACTCAAAAGATTCCAGTCTAAAACAATACATAATGATCACTAAATTATCTCTATTTTATTTACAAATGACTTAAATTTGGCCTCAGAATTACAGAGAAAGATTTAGCTTGAGAATGCAGAGGATACTTTAGGGAGCTTCTAGGTAAATTTCCTGTGTAAAACATTATAATGATATGACTAATTTTTATTCGTCTTGTTTTTGCTTGCCTCCAACAAAGAGGAGCTATTTCATATGATGGCTTTTTATATTCTAGTTTTTATTTTCCTCGATCTTTTTGTCAGTTCTTCAATAAATGAATATATTTGCAGCATTCCCTTTAAATCTTTTTTCCATCCCTCTATCAACATAGATCTCCAGGGATCACCATGTTGCTAAATGCAGTAGTCAACTTTTATTATTCATTTTGTTTCTATTACCTGTCAGCCTTGATCTTGATTCCTATTTCTTTCTTAAAAACTTTCTTCTCCAACTTTTGGGAGCACCCTTGGTCCTGGGTATCCTCCTCCTATCTTGTTTCCTGTGATTCTCCACTGGCTCATCCTATAATCTGAATATAAGCAACGATGACTATAGGCTCTGGATTGGGCCTATTCAAGTTCAAATCTTGGCTCCAACTCATATTACCCATGAAAGTCAGCACATGTAACAACTCTGTAAAAATGCTGATAGTACCATTAACTTCATCAAAGTATTCTTGTAAAAGAAATAACTCATTTAATGGTGTAAGATAGTGCCTGAAACATAGAAAAGGCTCAGTAAATAGTAGTTATTCTTTTTGTATTTCTATTCTTCAAAGCATATCATGCCTTTCCATGCTGTATTTTCTGTCTCAAAATGTTTTACTCATGCCCGAGGTTTTAGGTACTATTTTAATTCTTGAAATGTGTAATTTTACATCTCTAGTACAGACCTGTCTTTTGGGCTTCAGTCTTAACATTTCTAATTGGATCTCTCAAAGAAACCACAAACTCAGCAGGTCTAGAACAACACTTGTATTTTTTTTCCCTAATAAAACAGGTTTTTCCCCCTACTTTCCCTTTGAATGGCATTATCATTAGCACAATGGCACAGGTTCAAAACTTAGGAGCCATTGTTTTCATCATATTTCTCATGCGACATGGTACCATGTAGTACAGATCTTAGTTGCTAAATATTATTAGAATTTATTCCCACTGTTCACACTGCTATCACCCCAGGTTAAGCCTCATCATTGTCTTAACACCTTAAAATTATCCCTTCCAATCTGTTTCATACACTTCAGTATAGTGAAGTATTTGTTGAAAAAAAAAGGTAAATATAATAATAATGCTCCCTTCCCTATCTCTTTTATTTTTTCCATTACTTTTAGAATAAAAAACAAAATCCTTAATATGCCACAAAACTTGGATGGATTGCCCAGGTTCCCAGCCTCAGGAGCAACTTCATTTCAATTGTTTCCTCAAGCTTCTGTGGTCTTGTCATCGCCTGTTTTGCCTGTGCTCAACTCTAGGGTCTTGGGCATGCTTCTCTTTTGACTGATAATCGCTCTCCTCCTCCAACTACTGTGTGTAGTTAATCTCTCCTTGTCTTCGGCTCTCAAATCTCACATGTTGTTTCTCAAGGACCTCGTCCATGATCCTCTACACTACATCAGATCACAACTATCTACATGTTTCCTACATAGTTTTTATCAAGTTTCTAAGTATATTTTTGATTATCTGACTAGCAGCTGTATCTCCTCTTAGACTGTAAGCTCATAATTTCTTCTCAAAAGCTGCTAAAGTATCTAGAATATAAGATATTCAAAGAGTATTTTTGAATACATGAATGATTCCTGCAAGCTAAGTTGGCAGCCTGAAAGAAATTAGAATCTCATGGAGGAAGCTTAGGGTTACAGTGTCAGAATACTGGGTCCTTGGCTATGTCATGGGTTTTAATGTAATTTTGTTGATATTAGAGATTAGCCACAGTACTATAGTTTCCTCAGGAACAAACACATCTTTCCTACTTGTTTCCTCAGTCAACCATTCCATAACTATTCATTAATAGAATATTGCCTTCCCAAAAGTACATAAAAGATTGCAAATGTATCTGTGAACAGAACAAAGTTGACCCTATTTCTCTTAGAGCTTATAATAAAGGCATACAGTCCTAATATCTCAGAATCACAAGAAAACAATTTTAATAAAGAGTTCCATGAAACACTAATCTTATAATATATTCCAAAAATAAATGCACTAAGAAGTCTGAGCAATGCTGCACGTAGTATTTCTCTCATGTAAATTCATTTTAAAATTAGCTCATTTAACGCTCTGAAAATGTCTGCAACAAAGAAATTATTTACATTTATGTAACCCAGATTTTTTTTTTTTTTTGAGACAAGATCTTGCTCTGTTGCTCAGGCTGGAGTACAATAGTGCAATCATGGCTCACTGCAGCCTCAACTTTCTAGGCTCAAGTGATTCTCCCACCTCAGCCTCCCAAGTAGCTGGGACCACAGGCATGTGCCACCATGCCTAGCTAATTTTTAAATTTTTTTTAGAAATAGGATCTCCCTGTGTTTCCCAGGCTGGTCTGGAACTCCTGGGCTCAAGCTGTCTTCCCACCTTGGCCTGCCAAAGTGTTGGGATTACAGGCGTGAGCCACCACGCATGGCCCAGAATTTCTTAAATGTGTGTTTTGCTTGTTTATTTTGTTTTTCTTTTTGCCAAACTCCTTTGATGAGAAGCTTATTACTTCACAAGAGAATCCATTTTGTATTTAGACCACAGTTTTCTGTTGAGTCCAAAGCATCTTAGAATCACTGGATTCTGAAGTTTGGAATAATTAAATAGATAATTTTGGCTAATGGTTTATAAGCTTTCTTGACCTGCAGAGTCCATTTTTTTTTTTTTTTTTTTTTTCAGACGGGGTCTTTCTCTGTCACCCAGGCTGGAGTGCAGTGGTGTGGTCACAGCTTACTGCAGCCCCAGCTTCCTGGGCTCAAGTGATTCCCCTGCCTCAGCCTCCCAAAGTGCTGGGATTACAGGCATGAGCCACCACACTAGACTGACCTGCAGAGTCCTTTTTTGAAAGAAAATTGCTTTGAAAATACAAACAAGCACGGTGCTGCTCTGGATGAAGCTGATGGTGAGATTTGAGCTCCATCAGCAAGGCTCCTTAGTGAGCTCCACAAAATATAGTTTGAAAATCAGTGATTTTGTCTGACCCCATCACCTTAAATATCAGAAGATGGAAATATAAAGTGGCAAAGAACAATCTAAGAGCACATACCTGGTCAGATGAAGAGCAAGAATTAAAACAGGTCATTCAACTCCAAACCAGTGCTTTTTTCTTTCTAACACACAGCCACCCTACTCAGGTTGTGAGTTGTGTGTCCTGGGGCAAGACAGAATTATAAGTTTCACTTTACTATGTGGCAGCAATACTGAACTCTTGTCTGCTGCTTAAACACACCAAGCTCATTCTCACCCTTCAGCACTTGTGGGTCTGTTTGTTACCTGTCTGCCTGGAGTGCTTTGGCTGAGACCTTTATGCAGCTGGTCCTTACTTGTCATTTAGGTCTCAGCTCAAACATGTTGCCTCCTCAGAGATGCCTTTCCTGAGCACAGAGTTTTAATATTCAATATTCTACACTATAAATAATAAATACCATATTTAAACTTCTTTCTAACACTTACTGTCAATATCTGATTTTTATTTTGCTAATGTATTTGATTTCTTGGTTATTATTGATCTTTCACCAGAAGGAACACTCCGTGAGTCTTTCCTATAGATTCCTGAATCCTAGGACCAAAAGAGTACCCAGTACATATAGAGAGGCACTTCACAAATATTTTTTGTTTGAGTGCATAATAAGGCAGCACTGTGTGTCGGGGCTGCCTGCTGCCTTCGGTGGTAGTGAGTTGCTTGTCAAACAAGCAGAAGTCAAATGTACAGTTACCAAGAGTGAAGGATAAAGGACTCCAGAAGGCTCGGCCACATCCTCTGAGTTCTCCTTTAGCACTGGTTTGTTACGAGCCAGAGAAATTGGGATTGTTTCTGCATGCAGAAAATGCCTTTGCTTTCCTCTCTGAAAGTTCAACTCTGATGCAGCCCAGTACTAAGTATTGCAGCAATTTTTGTCCCATATACAAAGATTAAAATATATACATTTTAGATGTTCCCCTTTTTAAATCACCACAAGACAATAAAACTGTATTTACTCTCATCTAAATTTTGTAAAATTTTCTTTACCACCCACATCAATAATTGTAGCTGGGGATACTTTACGAGTGAATTTTCATTTGCTTTTCACCATTCCCAATGTTGTCACGTTATTTTAGGATCTGTTGATTGACTCATCTACTTAATACCAATTAGCTTTCTGCCCTGTTCCTTCAGTTCCCTCGCCAGGCTTCCTTCTTCACTAATGTCAGATTTTTCCTATTACAAATGAATAACTTTCTACTCTACTAGTTTCCTGTGGCTACGGTAGTAAATTGCTTTAAAGATGGTGGCTAGAAACCAGAAGTCCTTAATCAGTTTCACTGGTTTGAATTCAAGGTATTGTCAACCTTATACTCTTTTGAAGTTTTATGGGCAAATATGTTCTGTGTGTCTTTCAACTTCTGGTGCCTGCTGGCATTCCTTAACTTGTGGCCTCACCACTCCAATTTTCAACACCAACAGCTTCAAATCTTTCTCTGTTCCATTTTCACATCTCTCTCTGTGTGTGTGTGTGTGTGTGTGTGTGTGTGTATGTGTCCAATCTCCCTCTGCTTCCTTTTTATAAGAATTCATGTAATCACATGGGGGGCCTACCTGGATAATCCGGAATAATTTCTCATCTCAGTAGCTTTACAAGTCTTACGTAATAAGTTAGCCATATACGAGTGGGTGATGGTGATGAATGACAGGGTCGTTAATCTAAGCCTTCAAGATTATGGGGTTCTGTTTATTATCTTAAGGGGCCTAGATTTCTATCCTTTAAGCACCTTATTAATCAAGAGTAGAAACTTCCTTTTATATTTTGACCAAAGTCTATAAGAAACCCCAATGTGAAAAACAATTTAAGGGCATTTTACTTATTCATAGTCATTTTTCAGGTCTCAGTATTTTTCCCTAGTATTTTTTTGAGGAAAACCTTCCACATCTCATGGATTATATATTCTGTGATATAATCCCTTAACATATAATTCTTCTTCTATCATAATTCTCATCACTTTTCATTATAATTAATTGTTTAATGAGTCTTTCCTGGAGTCCTGAAGTGTAAGGATCATGAAGGCTTTCTTTATTGCTTTATAACTGAGATCCAGTGCAGTATCTGATGCACAATAGGTTTTTAATCAATGTTTGTAGTATGCTTTAACATAAAAGTCAGAGAAAAAGAACTCAGAACTCACATTAAGTTCCACAAATACCAATACTCTGACATCCTGCACTGTAATGTTTTAAGATTTAACTTGCTCCTCATCTGATGAGATATCCCTGAGCTTCGCATAGTCACAATTAAGCATGACACATCTGATGTACTGGTTTGTAGAAGTTTGTTTGTTTTGTTTTGCTTTTAGCAAACATACATAGGATAGAATTTAAAAATAGATCAGGGAAGAACTACACCCTTTCTAATCAAAAACATATTCCCAAAGATTCAATTTTGTGTCCAGACATGGAAAGAGAAGCTATACTGTGATGGCTTTATCCAAATGATTTTGGTTGGCAGCACATTTTAATGTATTAATGATCTTCAATATGTTGAACATTTTATTTGACATATTGAAGTGGATGTGTTGTTTTAATTAAAGGTTTTAACTGACAAAATATGTTTTAAGTTAGTCATTTTCAGTCCTCCTGACTCACTTTTGTGGAACCATAAGGTGCCATAGAACTGTTTGGAAACCACAACTATAGACAACCCAGAGCAAGTAAAGAATTCTGGCTATGAAGATATATATGTTATTAACAGAAAAAGAAAGCATGGGTGAATTATTACATAAACAGATGTATACAAAAAATATTTTTAACTATGAGTAAAAGTCCATATACAATTAAATATATATATATTTATATAATCATATATATATGATTACATAAAAATAAGAAACAGCTGGAGATCATTATCTTCAGCAAATTAATGCAGGAACAGGAAACTACTGCATGTTCTTCCTTATAAGCAGGAGCTAAACATTGAGTACACACGGACACAAAGAAGCCAATAGACATTGGGTCCTCCTTGTGGAGGGAAGGTAGGAGGAGGGTAAGAGCTAAAAAACTATGTATCTAGTACTATGCTCACCACCTGAGTGATGAAACCATGTGTACACCAAACCCCAGTGACACAAAATCTACCCATGTAGCAAACCTGCACATATACTCCCAAACCTAAAATAAAAGTTGAAAAACACACAAAAAAGAAAATTATACCATGCTCACTACCTGGGTTATGGGATGAATTGTACCCCAAACCTCAGTGTCACACAATACACCCATGTAACAAACCTGTGCAAATACCCCATGAATCGAAAATAAACGTTGAAATTTAAAAAAGAAACAAAATTTTAATATGAAAAATTAAAAAGTAATATGACCAATTAGGAATAAATATTCCCAATACACACTGAAGGGAAAAAATTAATGTTCTCGATTTATAAAGGACTTTTAAATATTGAAAAAAAGAGCAAAAATCCTATAGAAAAATTAGCAAAAAACCTTTAACAAACAATTCCCAAAAAGAGAAATAAAAGTGATCTTTAAACTTATTAAAAGTTGTTCAACTTTACTGTTTCTGCATGACAAGAGAAATGCAAATTAATACTACAGCAAGGAACTAATTATCATGTTGTAGATTGCCAAACATTGAAAAACTTTATAATACAGTCCATTGGTTAGGCTGTGGGAAAATAGGCACTCCCGTACATTGCTGGTGAGAATATAAAATAGTATAACCCCCATAAAGGTTGTACATATGTATTAACCTTTTGACCCAAAACACTCATTTGTAGGGATTTACACTAAAAATACACCACCAAAAATGTGAAGTCGCATATACACAAATTTATTTATTACATCGTCGTTTATATTTGCAAAATATTGGAGGCTATCAAAATATTTAATCATAGGGGATTGGTTAAATAAATTATGGTATGAATACACGATTGAGTACTATGTAGTTATTCAAAAGAATGAGAAATATGTCTGAACTAATATGATTTCCAAGAGATAAGTGAAAAAAAGTACAAAAAAGCATATATAACATCCTACATTTTGCATAAGAAAGAGGTAAAAATAAGAAAACATAAATATATCTGACTATGTGTGCAAAAAGTAACACAAGAATGATAAGCCAGAAAACAATGGGAATTGCTTATTTATAAGGGATGAGGTAGGCAGAAAATGGAATGAAAGGGATAAGAAGGAAGTCATAATTTTTTGTGTCCCTTTTTGTATAGTTTTGACCTTTGAAAATATATTAATGTTCTGGATATTCAAAAATAAAATTGGTAAGAATTGGAAGGAAACAACATAAAACTAAATTGAAGGGAAACACAGGAAGAAATAAAAAGAAGGTTTAATCCAAGGTAATATTTTCATAGTATTTGACTATATATCCTCAGTTATGGGCAGTGTGAGTATGAGGAAGAAATGTCAACAAACACCAAATTCTTTTTAGGAAGTTTGGGATTTTGTTTAATTTTTTGGTAGTGGTACAGTGAAAGCAAATCTGAAAGCATTTTAGGTGTCTTATGGGATCAAACCAATGAATTAATATGCCAATATTAATAGGAACCAGGGTTTTTACTGTGATAGACATATAATATAGACATAGAATGATAGGAGGCAAAAAAACAAACTAACAAAACATTTTTTGGGTGATGGATTGGAATTTGAGGCATCAGTGTGAATTCATGATTTCTAAAATATGTATTTGTGTATGTGTGTGTATGCCTGTTTCTGTGCATTGTACATTTATGAATGCATTTGTATGTGTGTATGTATAATTGGATGTATTTATATACATACACCTGCATGTGTTTTCTAGCTCCATTTGCTGACAGGGCCAAGAATCAAAGATACTCTGACAGTAATGAGTACACCTCACTCCCAAATCTTTGTACTTAACACTATTTCATACTATCATGAAGCAGAGACCTGAGAGAAGAGGCTGACTTCAGGACTAGGTAGGGTAGGTACAAGATGAGCCTGGAATATCTTCTTATGCTAGAAAGTTAGGAAATACTTCAAAAAGTAATAGAAGCATGTCATAAGAACATAGAAGTTAGCTTGATATGGCTTCCACTGCCCAAACCTGGGACAGTTTGAACACCAAAATATTTAAGTACAATATAGAATTATAAACCATTGAAAAAAATGGGAATTAATTTGGCCAGACTGAATAATACATAAATTAATACATCAATCAATGAAAGAGAAGGATTATAATAAAAAGCTAAGTGCCCACTGGTTAAGGTGGAAGGAGTATATAAGTTAGAAAATTAACTTTTTGCATTGTCATAGTAAAGACTAGATTAGTAAAGAATCATCAATGGATGCTAATCCAGGAAGAAATTTTGATGAGGACATTTGCACGGTCTAGCTCTTTCTACACACACACACACACACACACACACACACACACACACACATACATACACACATACACCCCTATACACATATGTGTGGATATATATGCATGTATTTATAACCATCCACACATACATTTACATGTATACACAGCACTTTCCTGATATTTTATATAGACTCTGTCACTGTGGTATCATGTCTCTTGCAAATCTTTTTGGCTTTTAAACCAACACAAGCTGGGCTAGATTTCACTATCCAATCCCTCTATTTACAAGCTCCTTATTCTTTAGCAAATTACTTAACCTTTCTGTTTCTTGGTTTCTTCATTTGTTAAGTGAACAGAATAGTCCTTACCTCATAGAAATGGAGTGAATATTAAAATGAACACCTACAAACACATAAAGCTCTAGAAAGGCCTAGCACAGGAAGATGTTGTTTGAGTGGTTGCTATGACTGCATTTCTATTACTGTGAAGGATGTTATTATAATGATGTTCCTTTGGGCCTGGTAACCTAGACTGCTTTCTTTTTGGCCTAGATCAGGTTCTCCGGGGTCTTCTCTACCTTGTCTAATGGCCACTCACTCTCACTCTTCATCTATAGCCCCCAGCAAGCATTTCAGCCAGGGTCATCACAGTTTCAATAGCTACCACTAAAGTTGTTAAGGGCTGGGATTTAAAGAAGCTGGACATAGCCATATTTTTGGGTAGTGAGACTCTCTGAGTAAATGTATCCGAAAAGAAAAAAAAAAGAGAAATGTTTAGTTTGTGTACCAAGAGGTAGAACATAATATTAAATTTCCTCAGCCTTGTTTGTAATGAATCAGAAGCGGCCCTTCCCCACACTCTCAGCGCCAAATAAATCAATTCCTCAACTCCAACTTGCTCTTGACAGTGTCTTTAATCTGTGAACTAGGAAATGCAAAGAAATCTTGTGTGCACTCCTCTCCCTCCAATCTGCTTGTGGCTGTCAGGCAAGCAGTCAGAAGCACTCAGTAACAGAAGCTAATTGGAAGGAACTGGTGTCCTCAGCTCCTTTCGTAATTATTGAAGTCACTCGCCTGGCATGGAAGAGAGCCTCTCGCCTCTACACTGATAAAGAGACTCTTCCCCTTCCTCATATAGTCACAGAAGCAAAACAAAGCCAAACAAAACTAAGCACTTTCTGTTTGTTTGATAAACCACAGAATTACTTTAAGGTTGAATAGCCTAAGCTTTAAGTTCAATTCAATTCAAATACATTTGAAAGCCTTTAAAGATGTGTCTAATTCACCTCTGTGTCCCTGGTGCTAAGCGGAGTCCCTGACTCAAAATAAGCACTCAGTAAAGGTTGGAAATGTTCATTACTGAAACTATTGTTGTCAACACCCGTCGAGTTCCTACTACATATGTGACTTTGAAATGGGCATTTGTAAGTGAAAAAGTTTAATTCTTGATGTGCACAAACTTGGTTTGAAAGCTTAGCTCTGAAATTCCCAGCAATGACATTGCAGGCAAACCACTTCATCTCACTGAACGACAACTCCTGCTGATGCCATAGGAATTATATATTATTCACGAGGTCGTGTACGTTAAATAAGTTAAGTCTGTTAAAATGCCTACCATGCTGGCTGGTATATGCTAAGTGCTTAATAAATGTTTGTTTTCCTCCCTTGCTTCTTAATATGTCGTAGCACAATATGAACCACTTGTCTCATTCATGACTAGTATCTTGTTTCAGATTTTTGACTTGAACATTATTAATTTAGGACAGGACACCAAGTGCTAGTTTCTCTCCCATCGCTGTGTATCACTTCCAGTTCCAACATCTCTTCTATATATTTCATTTTCGAGAAAGGACATCTTTTAAATAGGAATTCAAAAATTCAAACAAGATTTTTATTGTGTCGTACTTATGTGCAAACACTGTGGCATGCCTTAGAGATATAGAAATGAGCATATCATGATTCCTTCCCTCAGGGAATTTGTTGTTTTGTCAGGGAGACAGGAACATACATATCCAACTCAAATACAGCATGAGTTTTAGATGAGAGATATTCTTAAAATCAAAGTGCTATAAAGTGCAGAGGATGGAGCTGCCAACTTCTTGTGTTAAGGAGCAGGAGAGTTGCATGAAGGAAGGATTCATATAGAAAATGGGCTTTGAAGGATGAGCTGAAATTTTCTAGGCTAGAGACAGACAAATGATCATTCTAAGAAAGGCAACAGCATGTGCAAAACTATCACAAAACAATGCACGTGATAGGAAATGAAAGCATCATGTATTTGCTGCCACATTGTTGCATGCTACGCCATACAGCAAAAGAGCACTACTAATGAGCTATGCAAGAGTCAGACATGTTTAGCAAGAAAAATGGGGTGGTGTGGAAAAAATATTGAAGACAGTTCATACTCTTTCTGAGGATAGAGTAGGGGTGTAGCTGCCCCCATCTGGGTGAGGCTTCAGAAGTTGGAGCTTCGGCAGGTTCAATGGTCATCTGCAGAGGATAAAAACCTTGAGGCTTACAACCAGCCTGTATCCAGGAGCTACAGAAGGGCCAACCTGAATTCTATCAACTTTTCAGAAGGCACATGCCCAGGATGGGATTTTATGAATCACCTGTCATGTTAGGTCAGGAATGAGAAAGGCTGAAGACAGTTGGGAGACTGAGTAGGAACCTGGAATAACTGTGCAGATGACAAGGCCCTTCCTTAGGCCCTCCCTCAGAGGTAGTGGAGGAGGAGGAGGAAACATTTGAATGCAGATTTAGGAAGCCGGTGGACAGTGAATATAGAAAGTGAGTGAAACAGATAATTTGTGTACTTTAGTGACAGATGGCATGATAATGTGAAATGAAAAGGAACTAAGGAAATTTTATTTGAGTTTCTTAACTAAGCCCTAACTTGTTCAATAAAAACAAGGTTTTGTATTTGAACAAATGATTAGAATTGTCAGTAGAAATGTAAACTGCAAGACAATTCACAAAGCTATATTTCCTAGTCTGTGTACTTCAGTCCTTCTTTTTAAAAATGCATTTGGAGCTTACAACTAATAATTCGATAAATTCATAAAGTTAATAACAATAACAATTTTTGTCTGTCGCATGATAAGAGATGACAGCTGCCTTCTCAATCACATTCGCACTGAAGTGGAAAAACACTGAAAAAGTCACAAAAACATAATTTATAATGCTAATCAAACTCTCTTAAATTCTTATGAAAGTCACTTTGTGTTACTTTCTCAAAAATGTTCATAAACTTAAATAGTAGTGATTATGGAATCTCCATTGTAATTTTAGCTGTTGCCAAGCTACACAAATTGACCATAATAGTTCCTCCACATAACCTAATGAACGAGACAGCATTTGGCTAAATAGGGTTAAATGAACAAAGTATTGGACCTGGGACACTGAAGGATAGTGAAAGAAAAATTCATTGCCAGGCAGGAGCCGCATATGTAATAGACTTTGAACTTTAAAGATCCAAATCTATGGATTTACCTGTTATTCTGTAAATTGTTTCCAAAATGTTTTATTAAACTAATCAACAAACATCTATTGAATGCTTGCTGCTTACAGGGATTTTTGATAACCTAAAATACATAGTCCTGCAGTAGGCATTTCACCTGGAGTACAAAGTCATCTCTTTACAGCACTTAGGCCGTTTATATACTGTATGGAAAAGGTTCTTTATCGGAAAAGATATGAACCTAGCAAGGGTCCCTATATTATTTTATTCCCATTTGGTAGATGAGACAAAAATGAGTCTCTGAGAGGTTAAGTGATTTAATTGATCATAGTTACCCAGGGTTTAAACTTAGCTCAAATTTTGAGCTCTATATTCTTTGCATAAGGCCTGCTACAGAAGCTTTAAGTAGCATTGGGGCAAGGCCGTTGTGCATATTTTGTTTTCTGTTTGTAATGGAACTGTCTATGATTCCTTTATGATCATAGTAGTCAAAGACAGAAAAAGATATATGCAAGGAAATTCAGTTTTACTAAATGTGTGATTTTGTACAAATTATTTAACCTCTCTGAGCTTTAGTTTTCTCTTTCATGAAATGGGGATAACAATGAAACATCAGGATGAAGACTAAATGAGACTAATTTAGATAAAAGAATACATGGCTGAATGGATAAATAGATAGGTAGAAATAGGTAGGAAAATAAATAGAGAGAGAGAGAGATCTGAGACTACCACATAGCAAGCGAGTCTAAGTCTTAGGAAGAATATAAGATGCTTATTTAATAAAATTAATATGTATTAAGTACTTTTTATATGCAGGAACTATTCCCAGTGCTTTACTTATATTATCTTACATTAATATCTATAACTATGAGAAACCTTCCTACTATCTCTGTTTTACTGGGGATATAACTGTGATTTAGATTAGAGATATGTTGCCAAAGTTTTCACAACTATCAATGAATGAAGACAAGATTTAAATACTTGTCTTTTTGATGTAAAAATCCACACTTTATGTTTTCCTGTAGTTTAAAATTTACTTTTATTTGTTAAGGGGAGTGTATGTAACTTTGTAATTAATGTATGGGGAAAGCACACATGGACTTAAAACATATAATTAGGTATTATAATGTCAGAAGCCTAGAAATAGCTTCAAATTCTACATTGTTAGAAATGTTTATTCCCTGGTGCCATAAAGAAATAGCACTTGGACATCAATTTCCTCAGGAAGGCAATTTTTTACTTTCTGCGGAAAGGGTACACTCGCCAGCAGTTTTGCCATGAGAGTACACCGAACAAAGGAGACAGTGTCATTTATAACCTGATGCATCCATCCTATTGCTGTGTCTAGTTTCCATTGACTGGAATGGGACCTCACATCCTGTATTTGTCCTGATTGGCTATCAACTTAGAACTTTTTAAAAGAGGCAAAGGCAGAAGAGAACAAAGGAAGGAGGAAGTAAATTGTGGAATGCTGAGAAAGGTAAAAACACCTTCAAATAAAGAAGAGGAACAGGCTATGACCTAATGCTTGCTTGGACCAGTATAAGCATGCCAGGGCAAATATTTAGGCTAAATTGTGGGAGCAATGTACTTTATGTTCTTACATAATGTTCTTACATAAAGTACATTGATTTCTTTATTACAGCTAGCAAATATTTAAGAATGTTAGCACAGGACTTTGAATAAATTTTGCTTCTAAGAGAAGTTACTATTTATTCCTAATTAGATGTGGAGGAAAGTCTTTGAAGAGGATCCCCTACTTTACTTTTTACATACGTTCTAATAGATAGTGTTATAATTAATCAAATCTCATAAAATAAAATGCCAAGAGGTATATTTTGCCTCTTTTGATAGTTCTTTTGACTGGTTATTATGGAATGCAATTGCTGTAGTTTCAGTACAGAAACAAACTGAGATGAAAATGGAGAAATATGAGAAGTTCTCTAGCCTAAATAAGCTTTAGGTCAAGT
Organism: Homo sapiens; assembly: GCF_000001405.40. NCBI lineage: Eukaryota > Metazoa > Chordata > Mammalia > Primates > Hominidae > Homo > Homo sapiens. The sequence goes on along the minus strand of NC_000011.10, from coordinate 80,921,109 downwards.
TTAAGCATTTGCAGTATATTTGATGTCTCTATTCCAGAAATGTTGGGAGCATCATAAGGTTAATGAAACTCCTAAGTTTTGTAAGTCAAGTTAGTCTCTGTCTTTTCTTGACCTACAGAGACCACAGCTTTAGTGCCAACACATTATATAAATCAGGGCTAGCAGGAAAGTGATGCCTATCAGTTTTATAATGTTAAAGCATTGTTTTGGTTCATTTCAGCTGCTATAAAAAATTACTGTAGACAGGGCTGAAACAACAAACATTTGTTCTCATAGTTCTAGAGACTGTGAAGTCCAAGACACTATGCTAGGAGACCTGGTGTCTGGTGAAGGCTCATTTTGTGGTTTATAGATAGCTGTCTTCTTTTTGTAGCCTTACATGGCAGGGAGCAGAGAGAAAGAAAGCAAGCTCTTGTGTTTCTCCTTATAAGAGCACTAATTCTATTCTTGAGGTTCCACCCTCATGATCTAATTACTTTCAAAAGGCCCCTCCACCTAGCATCATCACATCAGAGACTAACATTTCAACATATGAATTTTATTTTGGTAGGGGCACAATATTTAGTCCATAACAATGATGGAATGTAGAATGAAAATGTTGTAGTGAAAAGAACAGTGGGCATAATCTTCCTACTTTGACCTAGTAGCTGTGTGGCTCTAGACACGTTATTTTCTCTCTGTGTCTCACGTTCCATGAGATTTAAGGTCAGAAATCACCAGATTCAAATCTTGGTTCTGTTCCTTAATAGCTTTTTGACCAAGGACAAAACATTTTATTTGCCCCAAATCTCAGCTATATCTTTAGTAAAACAAAATTAGTATGAACACATGCTTCATAGGTTGTGAGGGTTAACCTAGGATAATATATGTAAGGCATTTAAATTTGTGTATTACATATAAGTGTATAATAAATGCTAGTATTACTGAACACATATTGTATTTTTTCTATAACTTAATTTTTCCCACTCTGTATCAGGCACTATTCTAATGTTGACTATAAGATTTATACGACTGAAAGCTATGATAAGGATTAACTTAAATAATAGACTAACAAGAACATGGCATTTAGGAGATAATCAACAAATTTTATATCATGAGACTCAGTGATATATAAGTAAGATAAACACCTGAATAGGCATAATTTGGTTTAACAATGAAGAGTGAAGAAATACTTTATTTAGTCTTTCATTCATTAATTTCTTTTTTCTATTCAACAATCTTTATATTGTTGACCTGTGCCTAGTCTGTGCCTAGCAGAGATCCTAGGCACCAAATGGGAAACAAAAATTAATGAGACTGGGTTTCTGCCTTGTAGGTTGTGAGTTCTTAATCTGAGATCCAGGCATCTGTGGATGAGTTTCAGAGAGTCCATGAATTATATAAAAGAATAATAAATTTTTATGTTTCCTGGGGAAGCATCTGTCATTTTCATCTGCCTCTTCCTAGTCTCCCTAAGTGATTGCAATAGAGAGAAAAGGTGTATGTAACCTGCTCCTAATTATAGCTTCAGCAGCACTATTGTTCCTTGGCTGCCTGGGCTTTGGACATAACTGGATTCAAACTCCAAATGCCTTCCCTGGTTGCTCTAAAACTTAACTTGAACCTCGGTTTCCACATGTGTAAAACTGGAGTAGTAATCCCTACCTCTCGGACTTGTCTCAATAATGTATGTCGAAGAAGTTCTCACAATGGCTGGTACTTAGTAGCCATTTAAAAGTAGTGGTTTCTCCCCCATTCAGGGGTCCTCCCACAGTGATGGCTGTCTCAGAGACCAGCAGTCTCAGAGATCAAAGAAGCTCAGTCACAGCTTAATTACAGCTTATTGGTTGATTAAATCACATTAGAATCCTTTGATTTCAGACACCAGTCACAGATAGGAGTGATATAAGGAGTTGAAACATGAACACATTGGTGGTAATCAAATCCAAAAACCTTGGCTCATGTGCCTAGTCTCTATATCATAATTTATATGTATCAATTAATATGTCTCATATTGCACCTGCCACTTTAGATCTAATCCCTGTCATAATTTAATTGGGTGACATTGTGACTCAGATCTCAGGCATTACAGAAACCAGCATGAGGTGGATATGTGACACAAGGGCATATTTGTTCCTCAAATGTTTTTCAAAAATAGAAGAGACTGAGGAGCTTAGAGTTACACAGCAACACAGACTAACAGCACCTTATGAGGCACACCTTGCTGAGTGCCTCAGAAAGGTATACAAATCTTGAGAAGCATAAAACAAAATTGTAACAGTGGTAGAAGGGTGTTTTATAGAATAATTAAATAAGTAACTATGAGAAAATAATCACCTAGAAAAATATTGAATCATACAACATTATAATATGGCAAAATGCATGTTATAATCTTTCTGATAGTATTGCAGATCATTCTGATTGTGGTCTTATCTCCTTTTAGTGAAAAGTGGTAACAGCCTCCAACACTCATACCATAAAGCAAGTGTCATAAAAGCCTGCAGATTAGCTCACCTATGAATCCAGTGTGATCAGTGAAGAGCTGAACTGCATATCTGAGCTCTCTAGATGACAAAAATTTGGCATCTCAGGACCCAGACCTGAGAGAGATATCCCAAGAGTATATTAAATGGAAGGTTGTTTTCATATTTTGAATCTTTCTTTTCTTTATAAAAAAAGTATGTTAAAGAATTTGGCATTTTCCAGTTTTTCAGAGAATATTAGTGATCATATATTTTCATGACATAGTGATATTTCTACTCATCACTGGATAAGGTCCAAATTATTTACCACTATACATAAAATATGTTTATATATATATATATTTATGCATATATTAGAGATGTAATAAATATGTGGAGACAGAAAGATGAATAACCATGTAGTGGACTAGGCCTTCAGGGAGCTTCTTCTCCATTGGAAGCTGTCACTCAAGTAATTATAATGGAGGTGGTGATAGGAATGGTAAACCTTGTGATGGGAACATCAGTGATAATATGAGATCATATAACAGAGACACCAAACCTAGATTCAGAGACTCAGAAAAAGATTTCTCAAAAGAAGTGACACCTGGACTGACCTTAAGGATGAGTAAAAGCCCACCAGCTGAACACAGCAGTGAGATCGAAGGAAAAGACTATTTCAGACAGATGGACTGAAGGACCAGAGACAGTGAAGCATGGGATGCATTCTAGAAAGTAGAAGAAATTTGGAATGAGTAGAGTAAACATTAGCAAGTGAACAAAACATTATGAAGAAATAAAGGTAGAGAAAGAAACAGATTCCAGAGTAACTATGCATGAGAAAATACATAAAATTGTGAATACAGCTGCTCTGGGAAAACTTCTCAAACCTTTATGATGATAAATGATCACTACTTCCTTTATCCCCATGGGTCTGAACGCTTGATAAACCTGGATTGAAGCACCTAGAGAAAAACAATTACGGTCTGATGTCTGCATGTTAGACATCAGATGGTCTTTGGGTCCTCACAAACAATCAAAGTAAATCAATCTTCAAAAGTCTTTGTGTAAAAAGGCTGAAAGAGAGACAATCATTATCACCGTAAAACCTCCATCGTAGCGAAGACAAATAATCAACAAATAGACAAAATAAGCATATAATATAGTGTTCATATTCAATAAAATACAAAGAAAATTAATGTTTGGTGCCAATTCAAGGCAACTGGCCTAAAATGGGCCCAAAGAATAGCAGTTATCTAAAATTACTCTCACATTAAATCAAGGAGGTTCCTACGTAGAATATCAAGAAATCACTGTAACTGGATCCAGTAAGTCCTAGACTTTTACCTGCTATGCATATTATATATATATATATTCTTATATATTTATTTCTGTTTTGCTTTCCACTATTCTAATGCACATCACAGAATAGATCATACCCTACCTCTCTGACACTATGCAGATTACAAATTACTTGGACTTAAATTTGAGAATTTAAACTGTTCTTCTTTTGTCATTTTTGCTATTCTGATAATAGAAACACTTCTCTATTTTATTAACTTTATTGTAATGTTAATTAAATAAATGAATAAAGGGCATGTCATATTACAACCTAGTGTCATGCTGTGCTTTATTGGTTAACAACAGAAACTTAAAAAGTAAGAACAATGGCAAATAGAAAGCATATGAGCAAAACTAACAATTAACTGCATTCTTTTAGTCTTTTTCTTTTTAAATGTTTTTCTAGAGCAAATTAAATAACAAGAAATAAGTCTGATCAAAATAAAACTCTATAATTTACCCATTTGTTTACTAAGAGATCTTCATTTTTCTCATAACTACAATTGTTTTGTCTGTTTTAAGTGGTACCAAAAGATAATAATTTAACTCATGTCTCAGGTTTCAAAATAATTTGCCTTCTCTAGTATTATAAGGTTTAGAAGCATGCTTTCTTATCCAAGTTGTGCTTCCACATTAAAATTTAATGATAGAATTATTGCTTATGATCCTTCACATTTCACTCTAACCATTGCAGACTATGATGCATACCTATATTTAGAAAGCTTTGTAATATAATTCAGTTACAGGAACTAAGCACAGATTGCATTTTCCCCCTGACCATTAATTCTATCTCAGGTCTTGGACAGAGACTTTTTAATTTTATATTTGTTCCTCAACAGTGTGTATAAAAAATGCACTAAAAGCTGCCGCTTTTTCAACAACACCATGGTCACTGTTAGTTAAATATTTAATTCCACCAAGCACAAGTCAGGGCATGCAACAAGCATGAACTGGACTATAAAACCACTCTGATGGATTTAGATCCCTTGAGTCCCTAGTGAGTTTTGTACTGATACAGTAAATGAGGGAGAAGTCTCATCAAGATGCAAGTTTAAATAGGAATCTGTCCTGCCACATCCACTGACAAGATTAATTATAGCTCTCTGAACCTGATGTGTTTTGTTAATTTCTGGCATCACTTTACTTGTCTGCAGCCAAGCTGAAATATTAGGAGCGGCTTTAAATAATTCTGTTTTCCAGAGTGACACTTTTCTATATATTTTAAGTTTTGAAACTTACTGAGTCACCGATAAAAGCTTCCATTACTTATTTGCCATTAGTCGTTGCATCTGTTCTTTGAAATTGGGACAATCTTTTTGCAATAGTGGCAAAATGCTGAAAGAAGGAAAGGGCTCTCTCTATGAGAAAATTCAGCTATTTTCTATCAGGCATATGTCCTCAAATGAGAGAAAAAGGCAATAAATATAGCACAAAGACACTCTGCCTTGTGAATAACATTATCTACGTTTTATAGAAGACCCAAATGGTCTTTTTTTAAAGCTGAAATTTTGGCTTTAGTAGTGGCAACATGCTACACTATTTGTATATAAAAAGATGTTATATCCCCAAAGGGTTTAAAGCACAAGTTTATAGTAGGACAGACATGAAATTGAATCTGTATCAATGTTTACCAATCGGATAAAGTTATTTAATTTCTTTGATCTTTAGTTTTGAAGTTTATAAAATAAAAAAGATAGTACCAAATTTTGCATTTGTTATGATGACTAAATAATATGATACGCAGAAAGTAATTATCACAATTCTTGGCCCATCACAGTCACTAAATATCAGCTTACAAATAAAAGTGCTACTTCATAAAATATAAAATATATTCCTAAGATTTCTGTTGACACAGTCCTCTTAAATGTGAATCCAAGAAGTGAAAGTTATAAAAATTTTCAGAGCACTGAACACTCAAATCTCTTTCTTTCATTGTGATCTTTGTGATGGATGCTTGGAGTAATATTTTATTGATACAGTGTTCAATATTGTTAACTGAAAAACTGCTAAGCTGAATCAGGTTTTATTTTTTTCTCCCATCTTCTCTAATCTCTAGAACAATACTATTAGCTGTGGGCTATAGTAAGATGGAGCTGGATTTTCTGGACCATCTTCATTTGCTCTCTCTCTCCACATCTGAGCTCGTGTCTCCCCATCATATGTACCAAGCTCCTTACTATCTTCAAGGTTCCACCACAGAAAAAAGCCTTCCTTACAGGCACTATCTTGACCTACTTACTTTTTTCATAATTCCATTTTTCTTTCTATTATGATATTGACCAATATCCTGATGATGATGATGTGGAGAAAGATACTTTCCATTATCTGCTCTGGATTTGGGGGTGGACTGTCTAGTTGTATCTCAGTGTAGAGGAAAGCCAAGCCCAGGCACTAGGTCCCTCTTGAAAGGCAGATCACAGAGTCACTCTGGAGCAGAGGTGAAAGCGGTATTCAGAGTAGAATCAGGTTGACAAAAAGAATCTGGGGCTGAGGTTAAGTTGGATAGAAATCAGTAAAAAAATAAGGCGGTCAAAAAGAAGTAAGGAATAATGTTGGGGAATGGATCAGACTCCGTAGTGGGTCAGAATCAAGTAATTGAATGGTGAGTATTATATTTAGAAAGTGTTTTTTTTCTTTAATGTATTATATTTCTTTAGGTTAGGAATAGACTTTAAAAGATTCAGGATGGACAAAAAGCACCACGGTTATTGTCTTCAAAATTGTTATGATTATCATCATCATATTTTCAGAAAACAGAAGAAAATAGATTAGTGTTGCATTGAAATGGTTCAAACAATAGATTAAAATAAAACTTGCTTATTATTGTGCAATCTTTATTCACAGGTGATTTATTGTTTTTTAGATATAATTTGCATAATATAAAATTTTACATAAAATAAAATTTACCATATTAAGGGCTTCACTTCAGTGGTGTGTATCCTCTCCCTCTCCATATACCTAAACAATCTGATTGTTTTCTTATTATTTGACCATGTGTTGAAAACTTCTGATAGTCTCAATCCAAATTTGACTCCTAGTTAATCAAGATTTTACTTAGTGTATTAGTTGCTTATTGTTGGTCTAACAATTTTGCATAAATTTAGAGTCTTTAGGGGAGAATTTTTTTCCTGGCCTTTTTCAATTTCTACAGGCCCCTGCATCCTTTGCTTATATGGTCCCTTCTATCATCTGAAAACCAGCAGCATAGCATATTCAAATCTCTCTGTGATGGTCCCTCTTGCTCCATCTGTTACTTATAAGGACCTTTCTGGTTATATTTGGGCCTACCCAGATAATCCAGAACAATGTCTTCATCTCAAGATCCTTAATTTAATCACATCTGTACAGTCCCTTTTGCCACGTGTGGGAATATTCACAGGCTCTAGAGACTGGAAGGTGCACATCTTGGAGCGGGGGGTGGTTATTCAGCCTACCACACTGAGATTAATATTTATATTTTATATTGCATAAATAATATTGTGGTATTTATGTTCTTCAAGATCTTTAATCTATATGAAATTTTTTGAATACCTCTCTGAATTTCATGGCATATGAAATTTAAATAGCTCTTCTTAAAATGTGTGTTAATTACCTAGGGAGTTTATATTCTTCCAAGCTGTGTAAATTCCATCTGAAATGCATTCCTTTTTCCAATATATACAAAAGTATGTCTATATTCACATTATACATGAATTTTGTCTATGTTACTGAAAATTTGGAAGTCTTTGGGAATGGCCATCCATTTCATTGATTCCTTCTTTCCTCTTCTTCCTCCTCTGTTCTCCTCCCCTCATCTTATCCCTTCTACCTTTCAGAGTACCTGGGATCTCCAAATTCTTCTTTTTCTCTTGTAGAAAGCAGTTCATCTTTAAAAAACATCAATTAAAAACTTTAAAAACTCCATCAAATTACATTAAAACAAGGGACCTCTATTTAAGAAGTTTCTGTGTGTATTTAAAACTGCTATGGCTATAGCTGGCAAAATAATGTTTTCTTCCAATTATAAATACAATGCTATTATTTATTTTAAATAAAGATTATAATCATAGATAATTCAAAGATGGTGCTAAGCATTTCTATTATTTGGGTGCATATTTGATATAGATATTTGAGTAACATCTTCCTGGCGTTCCTCACTTATTAATTTAGCTTGCTTTTATTAAGTATTCACTGTGTGCCAAACACATTCTAACTGTAAATCCAATAATGAGAAATAAAACATGAAGTCTTGTTTCATTGGCCTATATCATTTTTAGTGATCTTCTTTATCCGTTTGCCATACATATCTTTGGTTTGCCTATAGCCTTTGGTGAATTGTCTAGTAACTACCCCCGGGTCATGGTCAAAGTAAACTGATATCAGTAGCAGGCTTGAGTTTGACACTACTATAAATGGTGTTCATTACCTTAATCCCAGTTGCCGTGTAAATAACCATGTTGAAATAAGATATTTCTGAGAGACAAAAGTGATTACCCCAATAAGCTTCATAAAGGCAAACACTGAACACAGTGAGATCTCAGAAATTTTAGTTTCTTTATGCATCCCCAGTGTATATACACCTTGAAACCAAAGCTTTAAGCTCGGAGGTACTATGTCTCTCTGCTCAGCATATAAAAAGTGATACAAATTAAAATATTTTTGAATGATTACATAAATACATATATCAAATATGTGATATCTTTCCTTCCCAAATAATTTATACCAACTAGTCATCCAGAAAAATGATTATGATTTTTTTTCTATTTTCATTTACTATTCATTTATTTCACAAGTATTTATCAGCATTAAGCTAGATTCTCTCTACTCTTTCTTTTGCATCTCCACATAAAACTGGGCTCAGTACACAGTGGATACACAGTAAATGCTGCTGATTGACTGAAAAACATCCTATAATGAGGCCATTATTATTGAAGTTTGCAGGTTTCTTTTCCTAATTTTAAAATGCCTTTTTCATTTTAGATCACCCCAGGTAACTGTCTCTCCACATCAATCTATTGATTCTCACTGCATGGAGTGAAGAAGAAACCACCAGATCAGGTATGGTTTCCAGTACTAAAAATTATTCACTCAAAATTAATATGTATTATGCATTTCAGAGAGGAACACTAAAAATATTCTTACAATTGAACTTGATGCAATTGATTTTGGAAGTTACTAGAATTTAAAAGCTTCTTTTTTTTTTTTCAAACACAAGACCTCTTTTGTGGAAAAGAAACTATACAAGTACTTTTTGAGGCTTCTACGTTGCAATTTACTCCACCTAGTAATTACCCTATCAACACATACTCTAAATGTCTTCAGTCACAGTCCTTCTAATGTAATCTGGATGTTCATTGTTCTTCTGTTTGATATGCACTGGAAGCCCATGGCGTCTTCTTATTTTAATCAGTATTTGAATGCATTGTCAGTTGACATAAAAACAACAATGACTAGTAGGACAGATGTTTCCCTTAAATGTGAAAATGTAGGGGCTAAAACCACAAATTAACCCCAAAGCTCACAGTCTTAGCATGCATTTTTCAAGAAGGTGAGATAAAAATTATTGTCATGTGAAAATCAGGAACTTGTCAAAGTTGTAAAGATCTGTCACCTGCAAAATAATGTCATTTTGAAGTAGCTCAACTACCTACTCTGAAAAATGAACAAACAATTGTAGCATGTTGGTAAAATGAAATATTATTTACCTTTAAAGATGTTGAATTTGACAAAGAAATCAGGAGAAACATTGAAAAAAGAAACAGAATAAATAGAATTCCATGCCAGATGCATTAGCATATAATAGAAGGATTAGAAGAGCCTATGAATGGATTAACACTATTCATTTGTATAGTATTATTTTTATTAATACTATATGTTTCCTGTGCTTATTGGCTGAGAATGCTATAAAAATCAGTTGTTCATGACATTTAGTTATCAAAAAGGTAAAATCTTACAATAGCTAACAAATCTCTCTCATATTAGTCATGTTTATCTTCTGTTTCTACGTTTATTCCTTAGTATTTTTCATTGGAATTTCTAATTATACCTCATGAGAAAAATTTAAAAATACAATGTTTTGTGTCAATGATTCATAGTTAAGGAAAAAGTTGAGGTCAAGGTCCTTCCCTTGTCTACTCTCTCTCTCTTTTTTCTGTAAAAACTTTATTTAAATAAATTTTGTGATAATTCTTATTCTTCAACCTTCACAGATACTTGTTGAGAATAGATAATGAATAAAGCTGCAAAATAAAAATGAACAGCCCAGACTGGGGTTGAGTTGTTAGTTAGCTAACATCCCGAGAAACTGTTTCACCTGTGAAAGCCTGTATTAAGACAGAGCAGCTCTAAAACTCAATTTAGGATGCAAGTTACCATCGCTTCAAGAGTTATAAGAAGATTTTCTGAATATAACAGTCTGAATCATAGGGGTCATTGTATGGTGATCCCTTATTTTTTGACTGAATTGCTTAAACAATTATTAATAAAAGGGATGAGTATCTTTGAATTATAAGGAGTCATCCAGCTACTGACCTGCTCAGAGTTTGTAGAAACACACTATCCAGGTCTCTTTAGATTATTGTGCCGTGGATCTAATCTGCTCCATTAAAGCTTTATTCATATGCAATTAAAAGATTAAAATGAAGCATCTTTGGAGTCAACACCCATTAAGTAGTTATTAGTCTTCTCGGTCGAGGAGGTGGCATTACAATGGGATATCTGTTTCATCATACTTTCCCTATTTCATATCTTACCACCTTCCGAAAACATACACAGTTGTCACTGCTTTTGACTATAGCAGTTCACTTAGCATATGCTGTTGTTTGTTTTAATGTCATTAACTTAGCTAAAGACTTTCAGCCAAGCTCACATTTGAAAAATCAAATAAGGAAATAAAGTAATAGTGTTTCACAGTGCATACCATTGCCCCCATGATTCTGAGCAAACCTTAAACTCTCCTTCTTCCTACTCATTGGATGAAACTTTCCTGCTGGAGAAAGCCTAGCTCTTCTCACAGAGGGATTTAATATCCTCGTTTTTTTTTAATTTTATTTTTTTTATGTATCAAAGAGATCTATATATTTTAATTGCTCCATCTGATAACTATCTGATTATTTGAATCTCCTCATAGGATAAGTACAACATAAAGTCATAGACAAGTAGACTTAGGTTCAAATCCCACCCTTGCCTTTTACTACCTGTGGCTCATGAGCAAGCTAGTTAAATTATTTGTGCTAGAGTTTATGCATTTCTGGGTTGGGAATAATAATATTACTTAAAAGAGTTTTTCTAAGGATTGAACTAGAAAATACATTTTAAGCTTTTAATATACTAGGTGACACAGAGCAAACACTCAAAAATGCTAGCTGTATCATGAAATTGCTCAAATTATTAGATTGAGATACATACACACACAGAGTTAGCATAAGCAATAAGAATGGCTTATCTGCTTTCAAATCATTGGAACTGAAAGATTCTTAATACCAAAAGTGCATTGAATATAGCTTGAAGTTTGAAATTTGTAGTGTCTAAGGTCTTTATTGCTATTGATTATCATTATAATCACAGAAAGTAGTAGTACAGAATGCTCCATATGTGGAGCTCAATATTTGAGAAAGCCATGGTAAAAGTGACCACAGATATCATCTAGCCTAAAGATTTTTCAGACTGGATTGTGTTTATTTATTTTGATTTGGTTTGGCTTCTTCTGTAGAACTACATTATATTAAGAGTTCTATAAGGAGAGCTGATCTGTGTGGGGATGAGATTCTTGTTTGTTCAATTCTTGTCTGTTCAGTTCCACCACGAAGATCATTCTTCAGTTTGTTCTGATCTCCCAGTGCTTAGAAAACACAGTTTTAAGAACACTGACCTATTTCAGTACTGTAATTTTTAGGATGGAGAAACCAAAGCTAGGAATAGTGAAGTAACATGCCCAAGGCCACACCGAAAGAGGGCAAGTCTGGGTATGCTGATTCCCATCTGTGGGATTGTTCTAACTCTTCAGTAGATTATAGTGAAAGTTTAGAACAGTAAATATGACTTTGGAAAATGTGGTTTTCTCTCCCTTTTTACCAATTATCTTTTAAAAAATCTTTTTAACTTTTTTTTAATTTATTTAAATGTTTTTTAATTTCCATAGGTTATTGGGGAACAGGTGGTGTTTGGTTACATGGGTAAGTTCTTTAGCGGTGATATGTGAGCTTTTGGTGCACTCATCACCTTAGCAGTATACACTGAACCCTGTTTGAAGTCTTTTTTCTCTCACCCCGTTCCCACCCACCCTTTACCCCTGAGTCCCCAGAGTCCATTGTGTCATTCTTATGTCTTTGAGTCCTCATAGCTTAGCTCCCACTTATGAGTGAGAACATGTGACGTTTGGTTTTCCATTTCTGAGTTATTTCACTTAGAATAATAGTCTACAATATCATCCAGGTCGCTGTGAATGCCATTAATTCATTCCTTTTTATGGCTGAGTAGTATTTAATTATACACACACACACACACACACACACACACACACACATACATTATATATATATATATATATATCTATCTCACAGTTTCTTTATCCACTCATGGATTGATGGATTTGTTTCACGTTTTTGCCATTATGTATTGTGCTGCTATAAACGTGTGTGCAAGTATCATTTTTGTATAATGACTTCTCTCCCTCCAGGTAGATACCCAGTAGTGGGATTGCTGAATCAAATGGTAGTTCTTTAAGGAAACTTCACACTGTTTTGCATAGTGGTTGTATTAGTTTGCATTCCCACCAGCAGTGTAGCAGTGTTCCCTGTTGGCATCCACTCCAACATCTACTATTTTTTTTTTTATTTTTTGATTATGGCCATTCTTGTAGGAGTAAGGTGGTATCACATTGTGGTTTTGATTTGCATTTCCCTGATCATTAGTGGTGTTGAGCATTTTTTTCATATGTTTGTTGGCCATTTGTATATCTTCTTTTGAGAATCATCTATTCGTGTCCTTATCCCGATTTTTGATAGGATTGTTTGCTTTTTTCTTGATGACTTGTTTGAATTTGTTGTAGATTCTGGATATTAGTCCTTTGTCAGACATATAGATTGTAAAGATTTTATCCCACTCTGTGGGTTGTCTGTTTGCTGTGCTGATTGCTCCTTTTGCCGTGCAAAAGCTCTTTAGTTTAATTAAGTCCTAGCTGTTTATTTTCATTTTTATTGCATTTGTTTTTGGGTTCTTCATCATGAAATCCTTGCTTAAGCCAATGTCTAGAAGGTTTTGTTCAATGTTATCTTCTAGAATTTTTATAGTTTCAGGTCTTAGATTTAAGTCCTTAATCCATTTTGAGTTGATTTTTGTGTAAGGTGAGAGATGAGAATCCAGTTTCATCTTCCTACATATGGCTAGCCAATTATCTCAGCACCATTTGGTGAGAAGGTTGTCCTTTCCCCACTTTATGTTTTTGTATGCTTTGTCAAAGATCAGTTGGCTGTAAGTATTTGGGTTTATTTCTGGGTTCTCTATTCTGTTCCATTTGTCTACGTGCCTATTTTTATACCAGTACCACACTGTTTTGGTAACAATGCCTTATAGTATAGTTTGAAATCAGGTAGTGTGATGCCTCCAGATTTGTTCTTTTTGCTTAGTCTTGCTTTGGCTGTGTGGGCTATTTTTTTGTTCCATATTAATTTATGATTCTTTTTTCCAATTCTGTGAAGAATGGTGATGGTATTTTGGTGGCACTTGCATTGAATTTGTAGATTGCTTTTGGCAGTGTGGTGATTTTCACAATATTGATTCTACCCATCCATGAGCATGGGATGTGTTTCCATTTGCTTGTGTGATCTATGATTTCTTTCATCAGTGTTTTGTAGTTTTCCTTGTAGAGGTCTTTCACTTCCTTGGTTAGATACGTTATTAAGTTTTTTGTTTTGTTTTGTTTTGTTTAGCTATTGTAAAAGGGATTGAGTTCTTGATTTTATTCTCAGCTTGGTTGCTTTTGGTGCATAGAAGAGCTACTGATTTGTGTACATTAATTTTATATCTGAAAACTTTGCTGAATTATTTTCTCAGTTCTTGGAGCTTTCTGGAGGAGTCTCTAGGGTTTTCTAGGTAAATGATCATATCATCAGCAAACAGTGACACTTTGACTCCTCTTTACCAATTTGGATGCCATTTATTTCTTTCTCTTGTCTGATTGCTCTGTCTAGGACTTCCAGTATTATGTTGAAGAGGAGTGGTGAGGGTGGGCATCCTTGTGTTGTTCCAGTTCTAAGAGGAAATCCTTTAAATATTCCCCCTTTAATATTATGTTGGCTGTGGGTTTGCATAGATGGCTTTTATCACATTGAGGTATGTCCCTTGTATGCTGATTTTGCTGAGAGTTTTAATCATAAAGGGATGCTGGATTTTGCCAAATGCTTTCTCTGCATCTATTGAGATGACCATGTGATTGTTGTTTTTAATTCTGTTTATGTGGTGTATCCCATTTATTGACTTGTGTATGTTAAACTGTCCCTGTATCCCTGGTATGAAACCCACTTGATCATGGTGAATTCTCTTTTTGATATGTTGTTGGATTCGGTTAGCTTGTATTTTCTTAAGGATTTTAGCATCTATATTCATCAGGGATATTGGTCTATAGTTTTCTTTTTTGGTTATGTCCTTTCCTGGTTTTAGTATTAGGATAATAGCAGCTTTAGAATAATTTAGGGAGGGTTCCCTCTTTATCTTGTGGAATAGTGTCAATAGGATTGGTACCAATCCTTCTTTGAATGTGTGGTAGAATTCTGCTGCGAATCTGTCTGGTCCTGGACTTTTTTTTGTTGGTAATTTTTAAATTACCATTTAAATCTTGCTGCTTCTTATTGGTCTGTTTGGGGTATCTAATTCTTTCTGATTTAAGCTAGGAGGGTTGTATGTTTCCAGGAATTTATCCATCTCTTCTAGGTTTTCTAGTTTATTCATATAAAGGTGTTCATAGTAGCCTTGAATAACCTTTTATATTTCTGTGGTGTCCATTGTAATATCTCCTGTTTGATTTCTTATTGAGCTTATCTAGATTTTCTTTCTTCTTTTCCTGGCTAATCTTGCTAATGGTCTATGAATTTTATTTGTCTTTTCAAAGAACCAGCTGTTTGTTTCATGTATCTTTTGTATTTTATTTTTGTTTCAATTTTATTTCATTCTGCTCTGATTTTGGTTATTTCCTCTCTTCTGGTGAGACTGAGTTTGGTTTGATCTTGTTTCCCTAGTTCCATGAGGTGTGACCTTAGACTGTCTGTGCTCTTTCAGACTTTTTGAGGTAGGAGTTTAGGGCTATGAACTTTCCTCTTAGCACCGCCTTTGCTGTATCCCAGAGGTTTTGATAGGTTGTGTCACTATTGTTATGCAGTTCAAAGAATTTTTAAATTTCCACCTTGATTTTTGACCTGGCAATCATTCCAGAGCAGGTTATTTAATTTCCATGTATTTGCATGGTTTTGAAATTTCCTTTCGGAGGTCATTTCCAGTTTTATTCCACTATGGTCCGAGTGAGTACTTGACATAATTTCAATTTTCTTAAATTTATTGAGGCTCATTTTGTGGCCTATCATGTGGTATATCTTGGAGTAAGTTCCATGCACTGTTGAATAGAATACTGTATATTCTGCAGTTGTTGGATGGAATATTCTGTATATATCTGTTAAGTCCATGTGTTCCAGGATATAATTTAAATCAATTTTTTCTTTGTTGACTTTCTGTCTTGATGACCTCTCTAGTGCTGTCAGTGGAGTATTGAAGTCCCCCACTATTGTTGTGTTGCTGTCTATCTCATTTCTTAGGTCTACTAGTAATTGTTTTATAAATTTGGGAGTTATGGTGTTAGATGAATATATGTTTAGAATTGTGATATTTTCCTGTTGGACAAGGCCTTTTATCATTATATAAATAGAGACATTATATAATGTCACTTTTTGTCTTTTTTAACTGCTGTTGTTTGAAGGTTTGTTTTGTCTAATATAAGAATAGCCACCCCTGCTTGCTTTTCTTGTCTATTTGCATATGTCTTCTTTTTCCACCCCTTTACCTTAAGTTTGTGTGGATCCTTATGTGAATCCTTTAGGTGAATCTCTTGAAGGCAGCAGATAGTTGGCTGGTGAGTTCTCATCCATTCTGTAATTCCGTATCTTTTAAGTGGAGCATTTAGGCCATTTACATTCAATGTTAGTGTTGAGATGTGAGGTACCATTCTATTCATCATGCTATTTGTTGCCTGTGTACTTTGTTTTTTTTTTAATTGTATTTTTGTTTTATAGGTCCTATGAGATGTGTGCTTTAAAGAGGTTCTGTTTTGGTGTGTTTCCAGGATTTGTTTCAAGATTTAGTACTCCTTTTAACAATTCTTGTAGTGGTGGCTTTGTAATGGCACATTTTCTCAGCACTTGTTTGTCTGAAAAAGACTATATCTTTCCTTCATATATGAGGCTTAGCTTCGATGGATACAAAATTCTTGACTGATAATTGTTTTGTTTGAAGAGGCTGAAGATAGGGCCCCAATTCCTTCTAGCTTGTAGGGTTTCTGCTGAGAAATCTGCTGTTAATCTGATAGGTTTTCTTTTATAGGTTACCTGGTACTTTTATCTCACAGCTCTTAAGATTCTTTCCTTTGTCTTAACTTTAGATAACCTGATGACAACGTGCCTAGGTGAAGATCTTTTTGTGATGAATTTCCCAGGTGTTCTTTGTGTTTCTCGTATTTGGACAGCTAGGTCTCTAGCAAGGCTGGGGAAGTTTTCCTCATTTATTCCCCCAAATCTGTTTTCCAGACCTTCAGATATCTTTTCTTCTACAGGAATGATGGTAATTCTTAGGTTTGGTCATTTAACGTAATCCCAGACTTCTTGGAGGCTTTGTTCATATTTTCCTATTCTTTTTTGTCTTTGTTGGATTTGGTTAATTCAAGAAGCTTGTCTTTGACCTCTGAATTTCTTACTTCTACTTGTTCAATGCTATTGCTGAGACTTTCCAGAGCACTTTGCATTTCTATGAGTGTGTCCATTGTTTCCTGAAGTTTTATTGTTTTTTATTTATGCTATCTATTTCATTGAATATTTCTCCCTTCACTTCCTGTGTCATTTTTTTTATTTCCTTACATTGGGCTTCACCTTCTCTGGTGCCTCCCTGGTTAACTTAATAACTAACCTCCTGAATCATTTTTTAGGTAAATCAGGGATTTCTTCTTGGTTTGGATCCATTGCTGGTGAGCTAGTGTGATTTTCTAGTGGGGAGTGATGGGGTGTTAAAGAACCTTGTTTTGTCATATTACCAGAGTTGGTTTTCTGGTTCCTTCTCGTTTGGGTAGGCTCTGTCAGAGGCAAGGTCTAGGGCTGAAGGCTGTTGTTCAGATTCTTTTGTCCCACGGGATGTTCCCTTGATGTAGTACTCTCCCCCTTTTCCTATGGATGCGGCTTCCTGGGAGCAGAACTGTAGTGATTGTTATCTCTCTTCTGAGTCTAGCCACCCAGCAAGTCTACCAGGCTCCAGGCTGGTACTGGGGGTTGTCTGCAGACAGTCCTGTGATGTGAACCATCTGTGGGTCTCTCAGCCATGGATACCAGCAACTGTTCTGATGGAGCTGGTGGGGTGGCGAAATGGACTCTTTTAGATTTCTTAGCTTTGGTGGTTTAATGGACTATTTTTTGCTGGTTGGCTTCCTGCCAGGAGGTAGCACTTTCCAGAGAGCATCAGCTATGGTAGTATGGGGAGGAACAGGAGGTGGGTGGGGCCCTAAAACTTCCAAGAGTATACACATTTTGTCTTCAGTTACAGGTGAGTAGGGAAGGACCACTGGGTGGGAGCAGGGCTAGGCATGTCTGAGCTCAGACTTCCCTTGGGCAGGTCTTGCTGCGGCTACTGTGGGCAATGGAGATGAGGTTCCCAGGTCAGTGGAGTTATGTTCCTAAGAGGATTATGGTTATCTCTACTGTGTCATGCAGGTTGTCAGCGAGGTGGGAGAAAGCCAGCAGTCACAGGCCTCGCCCAGCTCCCACGGAATCTGAAGGCCCAGTCTCACTCCCACCATGTCCCCACCCCCAATAGCACCGAGTCTGTTTCCAGGCAGTGGGCAAGCAGGGCTGAGAACTTGCCCCAAGCTACCTGCCTCTCAGTTGCAAAAGCAAGTATGGATTTCCTTTTTCCCCCGCCTATGGACTCTGCACACCAGATTCATGCCCTTCCCTGAGTTCTGGCCAGGAGACTTCTTGATCAGTTCTAATTGTTACAAAGTTCAGCTGGAGATTTCCTTCTCCCTCTGGCCTTTTCCCAATGCCTCTGTCCACCCGCCCAAAGGACCCCTATGAGGCCAGGCAGAAATGGTTTGGTAGGGGACCCAGCAAGCTCACAGAGCTTTTCCCACTGCTTCCTCTACCCCTGTATTTCAATTGGCTCTCTAAATTGACTCAGCTCCAGGTAAGGTCAGAATCTTGTCTTGTAATCTAGACCTTCAGTTTCCCCAGTGAGGGTGTGTGTTCAGGGGCAGATGATCTCTCTTTCCCATTTCCACAGTTTGGGCACTCACCGTGTTTGGGGTGTCTCCTTTGTCCTGCAGGAGCAATCTGCTTCCTTCAGAGGGTCTGTGGGTTCTCTTGGGTTTCCTGATTTTATTCCTGCAGTTGTTTTGAAGCAAAGATTCATGACGCGAGCCTCCACACGCTGCTCTGTCCGAGTCAGAGCTGTGATCTAGTCCTGCCTCCCGTCTGCCATGATCCGCCTAATCCTCCCCACCCCCATTATCTTGTTTTGGTTGTTGCACGTGTATTACAGCAACAGTTCTCCAACTGTGGTCCACAACTAGCAATGTATCACTTTTTAGAACTACAAATTCTTGGGCCGACCCCAGACCTACTGAATCAAAAACTCTAGTGGTGGGACCCAGCAATGTATGCTTTAACAAAATCTCCAGGTGATTCTGATATTTCACGACGTTTTGAAACCATTGCTTTTTTTCTTTTAATTAGCTCCACATGTAAAATAATTTTGGTTACTTGTCTTGCCTACCAACAGCCAAAACACACCAGGAAGAACCATAAAATTCTATAAAGAAAAGAACTGATAGGGAATGAAACTAAAATTCGCTGATCACCTACTGTAGAGCAAGCACTCTTTAATTTCTATTAGCTATCTTACTTAATCCTATAGCAATGCTGTGATGTATGTATTATTATCCCAACTTTACCCATGGTAAAATTCAACTCAGAGAAACTAAATAACTTGTCCAAAATTGCTCAGTTAAAAGCTGCAGGTCTAGGATTTGAACCCAGATGCAGTTGAATCCAAAGCCTTAATGTATTGAAGCCCAGTGGCTTTCACACATAAATGGAGTGGAATATTTGCAACTTTAGGGGAAAATTCTTTCGTTTGATTTTTATTGTCATTATGGAGTGCTTTGATTTTTATTATACTTAGTATATAATATATATCTTTTGATGTTACACGTTTCTTGATGTTACATGGAAATAATAATTTGACACTCGGACATGAGTATGCCTTTTCTACTCATTTCCATTCTACTTACATCTATTTGAATATCAATTTCCAAATTTCTGAATACTAGCCTAACTGTGACAGGCTAATATATATGTATATGCTTTTCCTTTCTTTAGCATTTCATGTAAGAAATAAATATAGCTCCAGTGTATCCTATTTGGGGGCCTCAAAAAAGTTTCTGAAAAATTAATCATCACCTTATAATGCAGGCAAAATTATGTAAGTTTTATGTAAATGTAATTACATATAGGAGCAATTACAAGAATATGCACTGCAAATGTTGGAGCCATAATATAGGGAATTATAGGAGGAGAGGGTAATTATATACCATGTTCCTGAAAGCTTAAGCATCTAGGAAGAAGTTTATCAATTTTTATGTATGAAAGAAACATTACGTTTCTTATTGTGTTCTGCAGAGGGTGTGGTGAATAGGTGGTCTGATTAGGAAAATATAGGATAAGGAGACATTGTGAACATGAAGAATGTTCCCACTGTTGAAGCATCTCAGTTCCTGAGCGGTGAAGATTACATGTCAATTATAGACCTGGTTTATCTGTACTAGAGTTTGGTTTGCAGTGAATGGTCAGAGAGGGCAAATTCTCCTTGCTCACTCCACATTCTAGGGTGTTGCTTGTAAGAAAGTCAGTCACATAGTTTAGTGCCTAGTAAAGTTCTGGAAGATTGAACTTGACTAGACAGGTTGTACTATTGGCTGCCAGAAGAAAAAAAATTTATAAGGAGATAAATGCGCAGAATTTAGCAGAGAAGTGGTTGTAATATCAGCACTTGAAGATTTATATCAAATATTGCATCTGAAGGGTGATATAGAGCCTGTATGTAGGTGAAAAGATAAAAATAAGTTAATAATATCAGATCTGGAAGCCAAACAAAGCAAGAAATTCAAGTACTAAATCTTATTGAGGGACAGCTAAGTGTTTGTTTGAGAACTAGATCAGGTAACTTTAATACTTGAGGCTCAGAGTACACCTTCTTCCTTCTAGGACAAATGTGGCAATCAATCCAGTGTGCAAAGTCCCATATCTTATTCAAGATCTAGGCTTGTTCATTCTTCTAAGCAAGTATCCCTCCAGTTTATTTCCTTTGCTTCACCTCTACTACTATTACCATACTCCATGCCACCATCATCGCCATTGCCTGAATGATTGTCTCCTAACTGGCCAGCTCACTAACACTTATTCTCTTCACAGTCTATTTTCTAGACTGTAGCCAAAGCGATTAACCCTCCAATCACTTTCCCTTGCTCTTAGGGAAAATATTAAAATCCTTAGCATGGTTTAAAAGATGCTCCATGCTGTTATCCCTGCTTACTTCTGTAGCCTCATCTGATCTTCTCTCACCCCTGCTCTCTCTGCAACTCCATACTTTTCGTTTCAGTTTCTATAGGTGACATGTCTGCTCAGGTCCTTTTTTCCTAGAAAGCTTTCTTCATTGCCCTTTCCTCTTTTGGTCTTACAGATCTCAATTCAATCATTGCTTCATCAGGAAACACTTTCTTGACAACTCTCTACTGAAACACACACACACACACAAATGCACACATGTACACATTGATTAGATTTAGTTCCTATTATACTTCCTCATAGCTCTCTGCTTTCTCCTTCATAGAACTAATTAGTTTGCAATTGTGTGTTTATGTGTTATTTTAAATAAATGCTTGGGCATCCCACTAAATTTAATCTACATAAAGCAGGAACTACATACATCTCTTTTTTGATTGTATATATACCCTAGGGCTTAGGCCATTGGCTTGTATAAAGTATTTGCTAAGTAGATACAATACCAGAAGTATAAGTGACAAAAGGAAAAGTAGGTAAATAGGACATTCCCACAATAAAAGAAATGCTATAATTCATGTTATCAATAAAGTTAAAACCCACTGGATAAGAGAAAATATTTGTAAATCACATATCTGATAAGGGACTTGTATTAAGAATGTATAAATGACCGTTATATCTCAACAATAAAAAAGATGAATCACCAAATTTTTTTAAATGGGCAAAGAACCTGATATTTCTCTAAAGGTGGTACTCACACATTCAATAAACATGTGAGAAAATCACACATCATTATCTACTAGGGAAATACAAATCAGAACAACACTGTGACTTTACCTCACACCCACTAGGATGGCTGTAATAAAAAACAAGTGTTGGCAAGTATGTGTACAAATTGGAATCATGATGTACTGCTGGCAGGGAATGTAGAATGATGCAGCCACTTTGGAAAGCACTTTGGCAGTTCCTCAAAATGATAAACAGAATTATGATATGACTCAGCAAATGTACTCCTCGTTATATACCCAAGGGAACTGAAAACATAACTTTATTCCAAAACCTGCACTTAAATGTTCATTATAGCAGTACTCACAATAGCCAAAATGTGGAAACAACTCAATGTTTATCAACTGATGAATGTGTAGACAAAATGTAGTATATTCATACAATAGAATATTATCCAGCAATAAAAAAGAATAAAGTATTGATACATGCTACGACATGGAGGAATCTTGAAAACATGTTAAGTAAAAGAAGCCAGTCAGAAAAGATGGCAAAACACCAATATGTTCATATTCCATTTAATAAAATATCCAGAATAGATGAATCTACAGAGACGGAAAGTAGATTAGTGTTTGCCTAGAAGCAGGTAAAAGGAGAACTGAGAGAAAAGAAGGAATGACTGAAAAAGGGTACACGGCTTCCTTTTTGGTGCTAAATATATCCTATAATTAGATTGTGGTGATGGTTGTGCAACTCTGCGAATATACTAAAAATCTGAATTATGTGCTTTAAATAGGTGAATTGCATCACATGCAAATTATATTTCAATAAACCAATTGTAGAAAAACCCAAAACTTTAAGTCATGACATGGAAAGATGAGTTTCGTATATTTAACTTGTGGGTACAGTGTTTGTATTTAAAAATAAAAAATTGTTAGTGCACACATCCACAGAAAGTAATACAGAACACCCGAAATGGTAAATACATGGCTGAATATTAAAATAGTCTTTAATTAAAATATATTTAAAAGATAATTGATTGCTTAAAGCAAAAATATTAACAAATTAAGTAAGTATTTTGGGTTTTATAACATATGTAGAACTAACATGTTTAACAGTAATAACAAAAGTCCAGGAGGGGAGAAATTAAAGTATATTATTGTAAGATTCATATACCATATAGGAAATGTTATTATAGCACTTGAAAGTAGACTGTAATAAATTAAAGATGTATACTATAAAGCTTAAAACAATTACCAGAATAATAAAACAAAGAGGTATAGCTAAAAAAAGAAGGTAAAAAGGAATTTGAAAAAATATAGTTAATCTAAAATAAGGCAGAATAAACAGGAAAAGACTAAAAAGAATATGGGACCAATAATTTTAAAAAAAGCATGAAGATAGATTTAAAGCTCAATATATACCTAATAGAAGTGATACTCAATTTATCTATTTTTTCTTGAGTGAGTATATTAGTTCTCTATGGGTACCATAACCAATATACTCACTCAAGAAAAAATAGATAAATTGAGTGACCCTATAACTATTAAATAAATTGAATTTATAGTTAATAAGCTTCCCGTAAAGACATTCCTAGGTCAAGATGACTTTACCTGTGAATTTCACTGAAGATTTAAAAGAGAAATAGTATCACTTCTATGCAAATTATTGTAGAAAATTGAAAAAGAGCTACATTTCCCAACTAATTATTTCTGATCAACATTACCTTGATACCTAAACCAGACAAAAACATTGCTACAGGCTAATATTCCTCATGAACATACATGCAAAAAATCTTAATAGAATTTTAGTACATTTCATTCAACAATATATAAAATGCATAATACAGGCTGAACAATTAGGATTTATTATGGGAATGCATGGTAGACTTAACATATGAAAATCCTTAAATGTAACTTATTATATTAACTCATTAAAAAGTAATCCATGTCATCATCTAAATAGAGAAAGAAAAAATATTTTAAAAATTCAACTTACTTTCCTGATAAAAACTCTTATTAAATTGACACTAGAAGCGAACTTTAAAGGCAAGAAAATGGTGAAAGACTGAATGAAAGGCTAAGATCAAGAACAAAGTAAGGATATCTGCCTTCACCACTTGTATTCAAACTTCTGCTAAAGGTTTTAAATCAAAACAATGAGAGAAAGTACGGAAGGAAGAGAGGGAGGGAAGGGAGGGGAAGAAATGGAAGATGAAGGAGAGTGCAGTGGAAGAAAAGGGAAGGGAGGAGAAGGAAGAAAAAGAAGGAAGGTAGGGAGGGAGGAGAGAGAGAGAGTGCATGAGAGAGAATCCAGATTAGAATGGAAAAGTTAAAATTGCAGTTGACATGATTGACTGTGCAGAGAATTTTATGGAGACTACAAAATAGCTATTAAAGCTAAGAAATAAGTTCAGCAAGGTGTCAGGATACAATTGAAAACTGAAATGGATTTTTTAAAATACCATTTAAAATTGTATTAAAATGTGGAAAACTTTGGGATAAATATGACATGATGGAAGGTGTGTTAAGACTTGTGTACTGAAAACAAAAAGCATTATTGGAAGATTTTTTAAAAAAAACTTAAGTGGAGAGATAATCTGTGGTCATGAATTGTAAAAGTCAATATTAAGATTTTAATCCTTCTGAAATGTATCTACAGATGCAATGAAATTTCAATAAAAATCCCATTAGATTTTTTTTTTTGGTAAAAATTATCAAGCTGATCCTAAGACTCATATGGCAATAAGAGGTACCTAGAATAGCTGAAACAGATGAAAAAGAAGTGGAAACTTGGAGGAATTACACTGACTGACTTCATGTCTTATTATATGTTACAGGAACATAACAGTGTGGTGTTGGCATAAAGATAGACATATAGATCAAGGGAACAGAATAGAAATCCACAGAAGTAGATCCATACATTAATGAACAATCAATTTTTGACATAAGCAATTCAGTGAAAAAAAGATAGCCTTTTCAACAAATGTTTTTGAAACAATTGGATATTCGTATGCAACAAATGTGAATGTGGATCCATACCTCTGACTGTACACAAGAATTAACTCAAGATAGATCCTTTATATAAATGTGAAATGTAAAACTGTAAAACTTCTAGAAGAAAACATAGAAAAACGTCTTTACGCCCTCGAATTAGGCAACAATTTCTTAGACACAACAATGAAAGCATAATCTGCGTTAAGAAAATATTGATGAATTAGACTTCACCACAAATAATTATTTTTGCTCTTTAAAATAAACTACTAAGATACTATTTAAAAACCATAGATTTGAAAAAATGTGTGCAAATCAATTATCTGGTAATTGATTTTTTTCTGGAATGCATAAAAGAGCTCTTCAAATATGTTGTTAAGAAATGATAATAATAATAAGTAGACAAACGATTTCTTATGGATACTTCACCGCAGAATACATATGGATGGCAAATAAGTATTTCCTCATAATCATCAGAGAAATTTAAATTGAAACCACAGCAGAGGACTGAACACAACTATCGCAATGTCTAAAATTAAAAAGAATGACCATACTGTGTGCCAACAAGGATGTGGAGCATTTGAAATTCTCATGTACTGCTTGTTGACATGTAAAATAATACAAATTCTTGGGACAATATTTTGGCAGTTTCTTAAAAAGTTAAACACACCTTCCATATGACCCTGTTCTTCCAGTCTTAAGAATTTATTCAAGTGAATTAAATGATACATGTATAGAAGACTTATAGATGATTCCTTATAGAACCATTATTTGTAATGCCCCCCAATTGGAAACAACCTAAATATCCATTAATAGGTAAATTGAATCTATAAGCAGTGGTATAGCCATACAATAGAATCATACAATAAAAATGAATGAACTACTGATATATGCAACAATATAGGAGAATCTCATAATAATTACACTGATAGAAAGAAGCCAGATTTCAAAGAAAGAACAACTGTATGATTTCCATTTTTATGCAACACTAGAAAATGCAAACTAATCTATAGCGACAGAAAACAAATCAATAGATACCTAGGGAATCAGGGCCGGGCAGGAAAAAGAAAGTAAAGGAGAAACATTTGGAAATGATGGATATATTCATTGTCTTAATATTGGTGATGGTTTCATGGTGCATAGTGTGAGTGTGTTTATGCGAGACTGAAACGGGCAGTGATAGGAGCCAAAGCAAGAGTGGCATATAATGCTTTTCCCCAGCCTCCTCAGGGCCTTGGACTATAATCCGCTGGCAGGGAAGTGCCTTTGAAGGCTGGCTGTTAGAGTCTTTCCCCGTTATTTGCAAAGGTTACATTCCAAGACTGCCAGTGGATGTCTGAAGCCACAGATAGTACCGAACCCTACATATACTGTGTTTTTTCCTATATCTACATACTATGAGAGAGTTTAATTTATAAATTTAGCACAGTAAGAGATTAACACTAATAATAAAATGGAACAATTATAAATACATATACTGTTACGATTGTTATATGCATATATAAAACAACCTCAAAATATGATTTTTTCTCTTTATTAAGTTGAGAACTTTCATCATTTCTGTGAAAGGAAGCACTTTTTGGCTTCTCTTTGGCATATTTGAATTGCCAGCATCACTATTCTTGCACTTTGGTGCTATTATGAGGTAAAGCAAGGGTTTCTTGAACACAAGCACTGTGATACCGTGACAGTTGATCTGATAACCCAGATGGCTACTAAGTGACTATTAATAATAGGCAGGCAGAGTCAATGGCCTGAATATGCTGGAGAAAGGGTTGATTCACATCCTGGGTGGGATGGCAAAGTGAGATGCTGAGAGATTTCATCATGCTATTCAGAATGGTGTGCACTTTAAAACTTACGAATTGCTTATTTCTGTAATTTTTTTATTTAATAGTTTTGAACCTCAGTTGACCTCAGATGATTGAAACCCCAGAAAGAAAAATCACATATAAAAGGGGACTACTGTGGCAGGCTAGTGACATGATTTGCATTTTAGGAACATAAATGACAGCCATGAAGGGGAACCACTGGCAACTCTCTCTCCCTGCCTCTCTCTCTCTCTCACACATGCACACACACACACACACACACACACACACACACACACACATTTTAACATGGTAATGAAATTGCAACAAATGTTTCAAGTAATTTTTGCAGGATTTCTGGTAAAACCAATTAACATACATTTGGAAAACTGTTGGTGTTAGCAACTTATTTTATAGCCATTAAAATGAATTGGTCCTCATTGGCATACAAGCTTCTAAGTGACAGAACAGTGACTTAACAAAAATCTATTTGATTTCAAAGCCTGTTTTTCTTTTAGATACACTTCCCCTATCCCACCTGGATGCAAATCTCATTCCAAAGCTTAGTGGTGATGAAGACTCATAAATAAGAATTTTCTGGATTTTCCTCAAATTAGAATGTGGGCCAAGTGTTACCTGCTGTGACTGTTCTGAATGGAACAGGGCCTACTGTGAGGGTTCTAAATGGAAGCAGAACAGGTTCTACCTTCACATGGCTGAACCATGCAGTACCACTCATGGATCAAGTTCACACCTCTTTATTTGAAAACATGAGTCAAATTGTAAGATCACCTCCCAAGCTGTGTCAGAAAGTGATGAGAATGACAATTCTCTTTCTTGCTTGAGGACAATGAATTTGACAGGCCATGATGCCACATCTGGGCATAGTGCTCCACATTGGTTCACAGACAGCATTGCTAATCTAACCCTGATTAAGATTGTTTCTAAGCGTAGCGAGAGTACAAATCAAGAATGCTAACCTAAATTAATTCAGCAAAGAATAGGTTAAACTCCAAAATTAGCAGTCTGTCTATATAAAAAGCAGTTGCCTCTACACCATTCGGTTTGGAAGCCTTTAAAGGAATTTGACATTTTGACAATCTGAAGTGTCAGTCATTCACTTTGTGGCAAATGCATAGGAACCTACATTAAATGTGCCTTTTTGATTTTTTGAAACTATCAAACAAAAAACCCTCTTTGGACCTTGGCTAATAGTACTAATCAAAACTTTAATAATACACTTGTCACTTACTCTTTTTATTCTAAGTTGGATGGGTTTGGAGGCTGCTTATGTAGTTTTTATACAAAAGAATGAGCAATGAGTGTTTTAGTCCTGTTAAAAAATCATTTTTGCCAGCAAGGAAGAAAAGAGAATAAAGCTGGGCCTGAGAATTAAGAAATTTTGGCCGGGCTTGGTGGCTCACGCCTGCAATCCCAGCACTTTGAGAAGGTGAGGCAGGCAGATCACGAGGTCAGGGGTTCGAGACCAGCTGGACCAACATGGTGAAATCTTGTCTCTACTAAAAATACAAAAATTAGCCGGGTGTGGTGGTGCGCACCTGTAATCCCAGCTACTCAATAGGCTGAGGCAGGAGAATCACTTGAACCCAAGAGGCAGAGGTTGCAGTGAGCCAAGATCGCACCATTGCACTCCAGCCTGGACGACAGAGCGAGACTCTGTCTCAAAAAAAAAAAAAAAAAAAAAAAAACAGAAAGAAATTTCACTCTAATTTGGTGAAATTTTATTAGTCCTAGAGAGAGAAGTTCTCATTCATTAGTTTACCAGTTATTTATTGAGCCTACTGAGTATCATCATGCATTAAGCAGGATGTTAGGTTACAATAGGAATAGGTTAGACCCTGTCTTATTGTTCATTGAACTCACAGGTAGAAATAAGTAGTAGAGAATTAAAATGCATACATTGCTCTCAGACAATACTAGATTCAAATACTGACTTCCTTGACTGGAGCTCTTTGACAAACTTTTTTGCATTCCTGTCTGTTTTTCTTATTTGTAATTAACAACAAGATAACAGCAACTATAATATAGTAACAGGAACATAACAGCAATACACTCCTCAAAGAATTTCAGTGAGGATCACATGACATCATGCATCCAAACCACCATTAACTCAGCAATCTCTACTGTGTGCATTATCGTTTTGTATATCATAAGTTATCACTATGGCGTAGCTGGACGTATTGTGACATAGTGAGATTAACTGTGGGCCATGTACTTCATGTGTGCTATTTTGTCTGGCCTTCATAACAATCCTTTATTATGCTCTTTTTAACAATCTTCTATTATTATATCAATGAGGTAACTGGGGCACAAAATATTTAAGAAGCTTTCTTAAGTCATTCAGTTAATAAGTGGTAGAATCTGGATTTGATTCATATTCACTCTGGTTCTGAAACCTATGTGTTTTCCATTATACAATGTTGCTTTCTAAGTTAAAATCTTTAAAAAGTACAAAAATATTTGTTAGTGGAAATTTTTTACTACAGTTCTATTACTAACCAAATCTGCATATTTATATCAAGATCCAAATATAAAATCAAATTGTGAAAACAAATACATATTGCATTATTCAATAACACAATTTCCCAGAGTATTTTCCATTGAGTATGCTCTCATGCCCTCTCTTCTCATGATTTCTTTCTTTTTTTTTTTTTTTTTTTGAGACAGGGTCTTGCTCTGTTGCCCTTGCTGGAGTGTAGTAGTGTGATCTGTAACCTATGCCTCCCAGGTTCAAGCAATTCTCATGCCTCAGCCTTCCAAGTAGCTGGGACTACAGGCATGCACCACCATGCCCAGCTAATTTTTGTATTTTTGATAGAGGTGGGGTTTCACCATGTTGTCCAGGCTGGTCTCAAACTCCTGAGCTCAGAGTGATCCACCCACCTTTTGCTTTCCAAAGTGCTAGGATTATAGGCGTGAGCCACCACGCCAGGACTTCTCATGATTCTTCATACAGATAAGTGTAGTTAAAATTTTCAGCCATGTTTATGGTGATTGCACTGCTGAGCCACAATTTAAGAGTATTCTGAAAACAAATATTGCTTATTTTTAAAATTACATGTAAAACCTTGTTTACCAAGCACAGACAGAATTCCCTTTAATAGGCTATGAAGCAGGATAGTCTGAGAAGACTGGCTTTATTACAACCTATTTTGTACAGTGGTTAAAGTGAAATCAGATAAGTGAGCTTAACCAAGGTCAGAGAGATTAGGACCCCGGGCTTCACCTCATTCAGTCTGTAGAGGCTGGCTATGGGCAAGTTAGTCTTTCAGGTTCAGTTTCCTCAACTGTTGAGTAGAAACAATAGTACTAGCACCTGTGTATGGGGATTTTTTTTTAAGGATTAAATGAGATCATGGTGCAAATTAATTAACCAGTACCTGGCAAGTAACACTATTTAGAATAAACTGTGGGTGTGGTTCTTGATGCCATGTGCTTGTATAGGTCTCCACATCTAGCTCTTCTTTTCAAATCGAAGAGAAACATTCCACATGGATTGATAAACCTACGAGATGATTTCTTGATGTAAAATTTCACTAGAAAGCTCTCCATTTTCAATTCTCTTTCATTTTTTCTGAATGCTTCAGAGAAGGTTCTCAATTAGGCATTAATGCATGAAAACACCTGGCAATCTTCATATTAACAAAGGAGTTCAGTGTGAAAGACTAGCCTAGAGCTAGTCCCTGTGTGGCACACACAAGGAATGAGAGATGGGGGTTGAAAGGTGTAGGCCTAAGGGGTATCAAACCAAAACTAGACCTGAAATACTGAACTCATCAAATTGTTTGGTAGTCTATATATTTATAGAAGGCAGAGCTCTTTCATCAAAAGACAATATGGGCTGGGCATAGTGGCTCACTTTGGGAGGCCGAGATGGGGGGATGCCTTGAACTCAGGAGTTCAAGAACAGCCTGGGCAACATGGAAAAGCCCTGTCTCTACTAAAAATACAAAAATTAGCTGGGCTTTGTTGCATGCACCTACGGTAGTCCCAGCTACTTGGGAGGCTGAAGTGAGAGGTTGACTTGAGCCCAGGAGGTAGAGGTTGCAGTGAGCTGAGATCACTCCACTGTACTTCAGCCTGGGCAACAGATCCAGACCCTGTCACTGAATGAATGAATGAAGGAATGAATAAATGAATGAGTGAATGAATGATAATATGACCTAGCACCAAGATAGTTTTTAACACCGTTCTCCAATAAAAGGAACCAAAGCTCCTTAAAGAAATAGCTGATTTTAGAGACAGGGCATGGGATTTGCAAGATATACCTGGATCGTCTCCTAGTGTCAGAAACTAAGGAATTGGTCAAAAAACAAAATTATGAGTATATATCCACAGAAACCAGCTGGAAGAGCTCCCAGTGGCCCAAGCTAGAACAATTTGAGCAACAAAATAAGTAATATTGAAGGGGTCTATACCTCAGAGTATAAAGTCTACACTAATAAAAATAAATGGGGGGGAAGAGACAATTCTCTCATACAGAAGAATTTAAAATAATTTATATAATTACTTTTTCTCTACCCCTTAATGATGAGCTATGCTAAGTGACTTGCTTACAGAGAGAACAACAGGGAAAGTGGTGTGGCAGATGGAGTAGGCAGGAGGATAATTTTACAGTGGAGGATCTTGCAAGTGATATCTTAGAGAGTTGAGTAAGGCTAGCAGTGTTAATGATGCCACATTAATAGCATTTGCCCTTGATATATGTTGAAAATGATATTCAGCTTTGGGGAGTGGTCTTCTTTTCCAGAACCCATAATCCCAGCCTAACCATAAGAAAAAAACATCAGACAAACCTAAATGAGGGAATAGTCTATAAAATGCTTGACTGGTAGCCTTTAAAACTGTCAAAATCATCAAGGAAAATCTGAGAAGTTGCTGTATCCCAGAGAAGCCTAAGGAGACGTGACAACTAAATGGATTGTGTTGTCCTGAAGAAAATCCTGGAACAAGAAAAGAACATTTTGGAAAAATGAATAGAAGTCTGAATAAATAATGGAGTTTAGTTAACAGTGATATTAATATTGGCCTGTTAATTGTGGCAAATGTGCTATATTAATAGATGAGGTTAACAAGAGAAAACTGGGTACAGATTATACTCTGTACTAATTTTGCAAATTCTGTAAACCTAAACTTATTCTAAAATAAAGTAGGTAATTTCGAAGGTATTCCTTAAATGACGTAAATAGCTTTAAGCTCAATTTTTAATACTCTTTTAAAATCATTCTCATTGTTCAATATAGTAGCTACTAAACACATGTGGTTATTGAGCATATGAAATGTGTCTAGCCCAAAATGAGATGTGTTTTAAAGTGTAAAATACATACTTCATTTAGAAGACTTACTCCATATTTAAAAATATAATGTAAAATATTCCCATTAATAACTTCTATATTGAAATGATATTTCAGTCCTATTGGGTTAAATAAAATATCTTATTAAAATTGATTTTCCCTGTTTCTTTTTATTTTTTTAATATGGCTACTAAAACATTTAACATTTTATGTGTGGCTTGCATGATGTTTAGATTGGATAGCAGTTAACAAGGGCATGTTTGAGTATTTTTAAGGGACCAGATATATAAATGAAAAGTTTCAGCCTTTGGGGCAGATTTTACATACAGTTATTCATTTGTCCAAGATAGTGTCTAAGACCAGACTATGCCCTATGAAGAATCTGATGCCTGGTCTTGGAGTCTAACTTCTCACCTCAGATATTGCCTACAGGGCCCATCAGCTGTGCTGCTAAGATTACCCTGTGCATTATTTTCCTCCAAGGATTCTCCGAGATATCTCATGGTCTGTATGCACCAAAGACAGACAAGACAGCAAAACCTTCTTTCTCTCCTTTTGTCTAAAACTGCAGGTTTTTCCATGAATTATGTGTGATTGTGTCCAAAGCTCACAAACCCCATTGCCTGAAGTGGTGGTTTAAGTAAGTATAGGACTTTATTTGAGCTGTCTTCTGGGTTATTTTTGGTGAGGTGACTTTTTTTTTTTTTTTTTAACGAACAAGCTACCGTATTTTTTCTACCTGGAGAAGTTCTCATTCTTTGAGACCTAGCTCCAGGCACCTCTTATTGTCAAGATGTTCTCCTCCTAATGTTCAATGTCCCTATGTTCCAAGAATACTGGGTGAAACAAACACTGCTTTTTACAATGCTGCAAAATGTTCGTGTCAGGTTTGTAGAGATTTATTTTACCCACTTCATTTTGAGATCATTCGCAGAAACGACTGTGTGCCTTCTATAGTAGAATGATGTGGGTAATAATTTTTTAGGCTGAAATAAGTTTCAGTTCTTTATTTGGACAAACGTAAATCCAATGAATACTCAAATATATATTAGGCAAAACTATCAGAATAATATAAAATAGTAGGTAGCTAATAAATGAATGTGTAGGTCACAGTGTCAATCCTGTATGTACACATAGGTCAAGTTTCTTAAATATCATATGCATAGGT
This sequence comes from Homo sapiens, assembly GCF_000001405.40. NCBI lineage: Eukaryota > Metazoa > Chordata > Mammalia > Primates > Hominidae > Homo > Homo sapiens. The sequence continues at coordinate 80,888,536 of NC_000011.10, read as the reverse complement.
CAAGTTTCTTAAATACCATGCGCATAGGTCAAGTTTCTTAATATGCTACTTAACTACTTAACTTCAATTACATTTATACAGATATGATTTACAACTTCCCAGCCCTTTCAAAATATACTGTTTCTCCCTATCATCTGCCTTATTGTCTACCCCACTCTCTTTCTAAATTACTAAGTGATGCTATTTTACCCTGCTAAAGCTGATGATTCTCCTATACATGTTAATGGTTAGAATTAATTTTGAAGAAAATGGTAAAATAAGAGAGACTTTGGGTAACTTAAGGGAAGATAAATCAGTTCAGGCCTCCAGTAGACCAAAGGGAAACACAGGCCTGGTATGACAGCAATAAAATTACATTCCATAATTATACTGTTTGAACTTTGATGCACTCCTACTATTTGGGAAAGGAAAGAAGAAGTTACTTGTAACAGAGCTAATAGAACCCATAAAAATTTTTAAAATTTGATAAATGTCACCATATATTACAATTAAGAACATCTAGTTATCAGGAAAGCAAAAAAATAGACTAGAAGAAGATATTTATAATACATATATCTGACAAATAACTTATATCTAGGCTATATAAACAATGTCTATAAATCAATAGGAAAATGGCAGACAAGGCAATGGAAAAAATGAGCAAAGGACTTGGGTACTTCAAAAACAAGGATATCCAAATAGATATTAAAACACATGAAAAAGTACTCAAGTTCATTAGTCACCAGGTAATGTAAATTACAAAAAAAAAAAAAATGCTATACTAATATGTACTCACCAGAATATAGCTAAGATGAACAAGATGGAAAATACCAAGTGTTGGCAACTGGATGAACCAGAACTCTCCTACTCTAATGGTGGGGGTGTAATTTGGTACAGCCATCTTGAGAACTATTTGACAATATATACTATAGGTGAACCCATATATACCCTCAGCAATCCAATTTTAGATATATCAACAGAATGTATATGTGTATTTGCCAATATTCACATCCTAGAATGTTTATTGAAACCCTGTTCATAAGTGCCACAAATCAAAACCTATATGAATGCCCAATAGTAAATGAATAAATTAGTTGTATGTTCACACAACAGAATACTATAAAGCAGTGAGAGCAAGGTGATCACCAATTACATTTGCAAATGTAGATTACACAAAATTAATATTGGGGGAAACATCAGACAAAATAGAGAACATACAATAAGAATCAATTTTATATTAAATTCAAAATGAGCTAACCTAATTTATGTTGTTGGAAGTCAGAACAGAAGTTAGCCCTGGGTGAGGGCTGGGAATAGAGACTGGATGGGAACACAAGAGCTGTCTAGGGTGCTAGTTATATGTATGTTTTTAGTTGTAAAAATATATCAAACTATCCATTCTTGAAACATAAGCAAATTCCAATAAAATAATTTACACATACAATGCTGCATTGCAAATTTTTGTCCATTTTAGGCACTGGGACAAACTAGAGTGCTAAACCATCCAGAAAGCACTCATAGGAGGTTGCATGGGAATGAAGCCTTTATACAGATCCAACAATAGTATTGGTTAGGGTTAGGGATAAGGTTAGGGTTAGTGTTAGTGTTAGGGTTAGAGTTAGAGTTAGGTTTAGGGTTAAAATTTAGGGTTAGGGTTAGGGTTAGTGTTAGGGTTAGAGTTAGAGTTAGGTTTAGGGTTAAAGTTTAGGGTTAGGTTACAGTTTATACAGGTGTGCTTGGGCCAATCTGTAGTTAAGACTGATGGAGAGCTATTCCTGGTACTTTAGAACTCAGATACTGAGAACTTCACATGCATTATGTAAATTAATCTGCACAACAGTTTCAAGAGGTAGGAAATATTATTATCTCTATTTTACAGAAAAGAAATATGCTTGATTTGCCCAAGATAATAGTAGATTCACACTTCTCCCTGTCAATCTGACTTCTAAACCTGACTACTTAGCTGCCATGCCACAGTCTATTTTTCTTATTATCCTTTTTACCTTAGATTCCCTGCTTTTTAGGGTAATATTTTCAGGGCAATTATTGACTGGTGGTGACTTATGGGCCTCTCTGCACAACTCAGAGATCCCTGGATTTAGAATTACAATATGAGATTTGTGTACCATGTTACTCTGTGTACCTAGAATACAGATTTTCTCATTATGCTGATATACCCTCTGCAAGCAATTAGGAATTAATACCTCATGGGATGTGTATTTAGTGAGGAGTCACATTAACTCAATGATAGAAAGAAACTAGACTTCCTGTAAAGAAACTTGAATTTAGTTCCATTTTGTATCATCAAGTTGTGTGATTCTACACATAACATATGTATCTTCTGCGCTTCAGGTTTTGTAGCTGCAAGACGGAAAGAATAATTTCTGATTTGCAAATTGTAAGCTGGGCATGGTGGCTCATGCCTGTAATCCCAGCACTTTAGGTGGCTGAGGTGCAATAATCTCTTGAGCCCAGGATTTCAAGACCAGTCTGGGCAACATGGCACGACCCCATCTCTACAACAACAACAAAATTTTATCTGGGCACGTTGGTGCACACTTGTAGTCCCAGCTACTAGGAAGGAAGAGATGGGAGGTTCTCCTGAGCCAGAGAGGTTGAGGCTTCACCGAGCTGTGATTGTGCCACTGCATTCCAGCCTAGCAACAGAGGAAGACACCCTGTCTCAAAACAAACAAACAACAAACAAACAAACAAAAAACAAATTGTTTTCTCTTTTACCTTTTTGCTTCTTTTTCTTGCTTTCCTTTATTTATGTATTGGCATTTTTGAGCACTTATGCTATGTTATATAAACCTGACAAATCCTGGTGAATTCTAAGATGGGAAACAGTTCCGAGTGTTTTTACTAACAGTCACGGTGAGTGGCAGGAAGCAGCAGCAGAGCCAGGATTTTGAGACCACAAGCTAACAAAAAGGAGCCCTTCTTTAGGAAGACACCCACATACACCATTAGGTAAGGAAGTGTATATTTATTTGGAATTTAAAAAATTAAAACAAGTAACTTGAGATTTTAGGTCCTTCTTGAACAAGACATGCTGACATAGACACACCTATATGGACATTCGTTCTTATAAAAACTTAACTCCGGGCAGGCGTGGTGGCTCACGTCTGTAATCTCAGCACTTTGGGAGGCTGAGGCAGGCAGATCAGTAGGTCAGGAGATTGAGACCATCCTGGCTAACACGGTGAAACCCCATCTCTACTAAAAATACAAAAAATTAGCTGGGCATGGTGGCGCACACTGGCAGTCCCTACTCAGAAGGCTGAGGCAGGAGAATTGCTTGAACCCAGGAGGCGGAGCTTGCAGTGAGCGGAGATTGCACCACTGCACTCCAGCCTGGGCAACAGAGAGAGACTCCGTCTCAAAAAAAAAAAAAAACAAAAATGAAAACTTAACTCCTTCTATCTGCCTAGAACACTCTCTAACTCCCAGTCATTTCCAACACTACAGTGGCCCATGCAAGTAAGAAGACCTGAAATTTAAGCAACAAAAACTTCATATGTCTGCCTCTGAAAAGAGGTGAAAGCTATTGCAGTGTGGTGGAGAGTTAGAATTCTAAGACAGCCCCAAGATCCCCACCTGCCTAGTTAACACACCCTGCACAATCTTCTCCCCTTGACTGTGCTGGGAATTATAAATGTAATAGATGTCACTGTCTGATTAGGTTATATTACATGGCAAAGGTAAAGGGGTTTTGCAGATATAACTAAGATCCCTAATCAGTTGATAGTGAATTAGTCTAAAAGGCAGATGATTCTGGTTAGACCTGAATCAAGTAAGCAATTAAGGGAGGAATGGGAAAGGTTCTCCTACTGCCCTTGAAGAAGCTGTTATGTCATTTAGGGGCCATGTGGCAAGGAACCATGAATGGCTGTGAGAAACAAAAAGCTGATGGGCAGCAAAAAAAAAAAAAAAAAAAAAAAAAAAAAAAAAAACACAAGAAACAAACAAACAAACAAAAAACCCACAAAACAAAACAACCAAAAAAATAACCCAGGGACCTGAGTTCTATGACGGTAAGAAATGGAATTCTGCTAACAACTATGTGAACTTTGAATGGGACCCTAACCTCCAGAAAGCAACACAGCTGGGCTGACATCTTGATTGCAGCTCTGTGAGACCCTGGAGAGAGGGCCACAAAGAACTCATGACTCCCTTTTATGGGACTCAGTGTTTTGAAATGGAACAATGTTATTTCCAAGGATTTTTCAGCTCTGACAGTTCTGTGAGTCTAGTGCTATCAGATGACAAGTTCCATGAATGCCAACAGTACCCCTGGACTTTTTGAATGACTTAATGAATCGAGAAAGCCAGTTCTCTTTCAATTCATTTTGTTTTGATATTTTTGATTCTGTTTCAATATTTTCTTTGTACAAAATGTAATAATAGAATAGCACATGATTCATTCTCAGAAATGCTCTATTAACTTAGATTAACCACACCTAAAATAGGAACCCTCTTGACCTGAGAGTTTTCATTTAGAACTTGCTGATTCAATAGAAAGACATCAAATTATATCCACTGTTAATTTTAAATTAACTCAAAGTATTTAATTAACACTTCTTCAAACAGAAAAGAAATAAAGATACTTTCCACTAAAGGCAATGAAGACCACTTAAGAGATTTTTGTAAATCAAATTAAAAACCTGTATCCATTCAAACTCTTTCACAATTAAGAACATTCATGGTAGAGATGTATGTAAAGCAATCAGTATCTCTGGGGAATGATTGAGGGAGGGATACTAAGCAACATTTGATTAAATGTTGAAATTAAGTGAAGATGAAGCTTTGCATAATTATAGGAGAACCCAGTTCCTCGGGTATATGTTAAAACAAGAAGGAAAAATATAAAACTCGTGAGTTCGCTAAAGACCATTCAATCAAATTCAACACATCAGAAACCTCATCAAATATAAGGTTCTGAAATCTTTGTAATCCAGAAAAACAGTAGGGTTGGGTAGTGGACCCAGCCACTCTACCACTAGTTTGCTAGATGGTCCAGGCTAGGTAACCTAACATCTTTTGGCTTTGTTTTCCTCATTTTTGCCAAAAAATGATGTGCTATTCATATTAAATCAGCATTTTCCAAAATATGTTACAAAAACCACCTTCTCCTTTGGCTGTTGGTATGTGGTGAAACACACAGGGACCAGTTTTAAATGGCAAAATCAGTTTTAGAAAAGACTGAGTTAAATAGATTTAATATATACTTTTGAGCTTTTGTGAGGCCGACAGGCCATGTGAGTCTTACAGTGATTGCCCTGTCTGCTCATTTGACAAAAAGACCCCTGTTCTTAGATAATATCTGGAACTGTGTTGAACAGAACACATGTTAGGGAGCCCCAGATGAAGTGATCTCTACAGACCTTGCCAGATTGACATCCTCTGAATCTTGATCATCTTGTCTGTGCTTTAGCTCTAGGTACCTCCATAACCGTGAAAGGATGTTAGTAGGCATAACGCTTTTGACAGCAATTTACTAAGTCTCCTTGATGAAGTCAAACATTTAATTAAATATTCATTAGTTTCAAAGCTGAGCCTTATTAACCATGGATTCATTTCAAGTGTGTATTGAAGAACCTTCCAAGTTCCCCTTATAGTTGCAGATGTATACACTCACTTATACTCTAAAAGTTAAAATTTTTTAATAATAATAAAAAAATCCCTTTCAAGCATTATGAGTTCATTGGTCTTTTGCCTACTTCAGGTAGCCCCAAAGTAAAGACTGCCAAGTTGAGACAGAATTAAACTCTATATAACAAAAATGGAATGTGTAGGAAAAAAAGACACTGTGGGAAGACCAAAGGCTTTGAAATGAGGGTACCTGTGTTCAACTCAGCTTCTTCACACTAACTGTGTGACCTTGGGCAGGTTAACTCACACACTCTAAGACGCTTTGTCCTGGTCTCCAGTAATGGGTGTAACCAGGCTGGATATTTACTGAGTATTAACTAAAATTCATGAATTAAGTGTAGCTTTTTTATTTCTTGCAATGGGTATAATGTTTCTTAAGTGAACATCCTGAACCTATTAGGTGGTATGTCAGCTTAAGCTTGCTAATGAAACATACCTGATTCTTTTCAGGTTTAAAGAGTTTCCTTTCATTTAAAACAGTCAATTTTATGTAAAAGCTCAGTCTTAGAATTCTGTTCCTTTTCTTCCCTCTCAAAAATGGTGTTGGGACCATTGAAAGGATAGTATTCTTTACTACTTAATGTTTGACCCAGTTGAGAAGTAAAGGAGTAAATAAAATGACCAAAATATCACATTTCTTTAAATCTAAACAAATAAACCATTATTTTAAGATGCACCATTATTTAATATATTTTAGAAAAATAACACTTCTAGTTAGTATTTGACAACGTGCTGTATTATAATTTATAAATTTTATTTTTAAATTTGGATTGGGACTTAATTGTTCATATATTTGTATCAAATATTGTTCTTAGGAAATCATAAAAGGAAAATGTGAAACTATTAAATTAATAAAATTTTCCTAAAGCATCTTCGTATTCTGAGATTAATTATTTTTAACTCAGATAATCAATTTATGAGCTCTTCCTACACAATACTGCCCTATGTGCCAACAGGAGTCTTGATGATACAGGATTCTTAAAACAGTCTATTAAAAAATGACAACAACAACAGTAAACAAAATCTGGACGCAATAGTGCTACACTTTTTTTTAACTTTTATTTTAAGTTCAGGGGTACAAGTGAAGGTTCGTTACATAGTTAAACTTGTGTCATGGGGGTTTGTTGTACAGATTATTTTATCATCTAGGTATTAAGCCTAGTTCCCGTTAGATAATTTTCCTGATTCTCTCCCTCCTCTCACCCTCCACCCTCTAACAGGCACCAGTATGTGTTGCTACCCTCTATGTGTCCACATGTTCCCATCATTTAGCTCCCACTTGTAAGTGAGAACATGTGGTATCTAGTATTCTTTTCCTCCATTAGTTTGCTTAGGATTATGGCTTCCACCTCCATCCATGTCCCTGCAAAGGATGTGATCTCATTCTTTTTTATGGCTGCATAGTCTTCCATGGTGTATATATAGCATGTGTTCTTTCTCCAATCAATCATTGATGGGCATTTAGGTTGATTCCATGTCTTTGCTCTTGTGAATAGTGTTGCAATAAACATATGTGTGCATGTGTTTTTATAATAGAATGATTTATATTCCTTTGGGTATATACCTAGTAATGGGATTGCTAGGTCAAATGGTATTTCTGTTTTTAAGTCTTTGAGGAATCGCCACTGTCTTCCACAATGGTTTAACTAATTTACACTCCTACCAATAGTGTATAAGCATTCCTTTTTCTCCACAACCTCACCAGCATCTTTTATTTTCTGACTTTTAAGTAATAGCCATTCTGACTGATGTGAGATGGTATCTCATTGTGGTTTTGGTTTGCATTTCTCTAATAATCAGTGATATTGAGCTCTTTTAAAAAATATGATATTGGACACATGAATGTCTTTTGAAAAGTGTCTGTTCTAGTCTTTTTCCCACTTTTTTATGGGTTTTTTTTTGGTAAATTTAAGTTCCTTATAGATGCTGGATATTAGACCTTTGTCAGATGCATATTTTGCAAACATTTTCTCTCATTCTGTAGGTTGTCTGTTTACTCTGTTGATGTTTCTTTTGCTGTGCAGAAACTCTTTAGTTTAATTAGATCCCACTTATCAGTTTTTGCTTTTGTTACAATTGGTTTTATCATCATCATCATGATATCTTTGCCCATTTCTATGTTCTGGATGGTATTACTTAGGTTGTCTTCCAGGGTTTTTTTAGTCTCAGATTTTACATTTAAGTCTCTAATCCATCTTGAGTTAATTTTTGTATATGGTGTTAGGAAGGGGTCCAGTTTTAATCTTCTGCTTATGGGTAGCCAGTTATCACAGCACTATTTATTGAATAGGGAATCCTTTCCCCATTGCTTGTTTTTGTCAGGTTTTCCAAAGATCAGATTGTTGTAGGTGTGCAGTATTATTTTTGGATTCTCTATTCTGTTCATTTGGTCTATGTGTATCCGTACCAGTACCATGCTGTTTTGGTTGCTGTAGCTCTGTAGTACAAAGTCAGTTAGCGTGATGCCTCCAGCTTTCTTCTTTTTGCTTAGCATTGCCTTAGTTATTCAGGTTCTTTTTTAGTTACATATTAATTTTTAACTTTTTTTTCCAGTTCTGTGAAGAATCTCAATGGTGGTTTAATAGAAATAGCATTGAATCTTTAAAGTGCTTTGGGCGATATAGCCATTTTAACAATAATGATTCTTCCTATCCATGAGCATGGAGTGTTTTTCCATTTGTTTGTGTCATTCTGATTTCTTTGACCAGCGGTTTGGGTAGTTCTCCTTGCAGAGATCCGGGTTAGCTGTATTCCTAGGTATTTTAATGTTTTTGTGATTAAAATACCTTATTGTGAATGGGAGTTTGTTCCTGATCTGGCTCTTGGTTTGACTGTTGTTGGTGTATAGGCAATCTAATGATTTTTGCAATTGATTTTGTATCCTGAGACTTTTCTGCTTACTTACTTTAAGAAGTGTTTAGGCCGAGACAATGGGGTTTTCTAGATACAGGATCGTGTTGTCTGCAAACAAAGATAGGTGGACTTCCTCTCTTCTGATTTGGGTGCACTTTATTTTTTTCTCTTGCTCGATTGCTCTTGCCAGAACTTTCAATGCTATGCTGAATAAGAGTGGCGACAGAAGGCATCTTTGCCTTGTGCCGGTTTTCAGGGGGAATGCTTCCAGCTTTGTTTGTGATGCTGGAGATAACGGAGTCTCACCTAAAAACTGAATGAGAAAGTCAATATGAAAGGCCTGAAACAGGTCTGACGCTCAATAACATAAGAAGCAGCCAATCTTGTTATTTCTTTTCTTTCTCTTCCTTCATTCTTCCTCAAAAATGAGAATTTTATTTTTCAAAATATTGTGATTTACTCTTCACAACTCTGTTTCAAATATCCTGAAAGTTCCTTACAGCATATGTGATTATACAACAGAATGCAGACTACATTGAAAGTGTTAATATTACAAGAACCTCATTAACCATATTGCATCACATAAAAGGCAAACTTACTGCAAGAAACCCCAGAAAACATTATAGTGAAGATCCAGTTTACATGGATGCTGCACTTATATTGTTTTGAAACAAATTGTCATCCCAATTCATTCATCCATTTTTTCAACATGTATTTATGTTTGGGGTGTCTACTATGAGCACACAACTTGTTTGAAGTATAGAAATTAATATAATATTGTTCTTGTCTTCAAATAAACTATGCTTAAAAGTCAAAATTGGATACATAAGTAAGAATTTCTACTAAGTCATATACCTTGATAGATACCTGGATATTGTGAGAGTTTATACCCTGATAGATACATGGATATTGTGAGAGTTTAGAGAAATAGCAATTAACCATGCCTAGAACAATCAAGGAAATCTTCCAAGATGAGGCAAGGACAGATCTTGGTTCTAATGGAAAAGTCAGAGTCGTCCAAGGCTTCCAAGGTGTGGAGAATAATTTTCTAGGTTTAGATATAAAGTTTGTGTGTAAGAAAGGTATTGGAAAGGGCTAGAAGAGGAAATATGACAGTATAACCTTTGCAAAGGTGGTTAACAATAAGGTATTATATATTAGAAAATAGCTAGATCAAAGGCTTTTGTCTGGGCACGGTGGCTCACGCCTGTAGTCTCAGCAGTTTGGGAGGCCAAGGCAGGCAGATCACCTGAGGTCAGGAATTCAAGACCAGCCTGGCTAACATGGTGAAACCCCATCTCTACTAAAAATACAAAAAAATTTAGCTGGGTGTGGTGGTGGGTGCCTGTAATTCCAGCTACTCGGGAGGCTGAGGCAGGAGATTTGCTTCAGCCCAGGAGGCGGAGGTTGCAGTGAGCCGAGATCGTGCCATTGCACTCCAGCCTGGGCAACAAGAGAGAAACTTCATCCCAAAAAAAAGAAAAAAAAAAAAAAAAAGAAAGGCTATTGAATGTTCTCATCACAAAGAAATGATAAATGCATAAGGTGTTGGACACACTAAATACTCTGATTTGATTATTATGCTACATATTATGTATTGAAATATCAAATTGTACCCCATAAATATGTACAATTTCAATGTGTCAATTTTTGAAAAATAATTTGAGAATAATAATTAACCTTTATTAAACATCTGTTTTAAGCAGAACACTGTCACAAGCATGTTTCTTATATGAAGTTATTAGATTCTCACGACTCTATGAGTTACAAACTATAATTATCCCCATTTTACAGGATTTAAAACTGAAGCACCAAAAGTTGAAGCAACTTTTCCAAGATCACACTGAGAGCAAGTGACTAAGCCAGAGTTTTAACCAAGGCAGCTGGCCCTACATGCCATGTTCTATTTCTATTTTCCACTCTCTCATTGTTTTGAAGATGATATGGTACCATTGGAAATCATACCTCATATTGCATGCATGTTGGTGGTATAAATCAAATTGTTATATCATAGGGGATACATGAATAAAGATATCAAAGGTTGGTTTGGGAACAGAAATATCATAGCAAAGAATAATAAATGCAACATATCTTATATCTAAGTGTTTATAGTGTCCACAGAAGGACTGTAGAGTTGTATGCTATAAAATTTGCAGATTATCAAGATCATAAATGCAGTTTTCAGAGGCTGAATATTGAAGAGTGATTTTTAACTCATTTTATTTAAAGTTATAATGTTTGCCCATGTTAGTCAGATTTAATTTCCAATCGCAATCCTGCCTCTCACCAGTTTTAAGGCTTGGGGCAAATCACCTAACTTCTCAGCCATAAACTCAAATTTCTGCTCTTTAAAATTTATATATATGACATATAAAACATAATCATATAAAATATACTTAATATATAAATATAATGTAATATAAATATTATGTATAAAATATATATTAATTATTCTCAAAGGGCTTTCATGATTAAATAATTTAATAAAATTCCTGAAACATTGTAGGCCCTTAAAAATTTTAATTTTCTTTTCTTATAACCCTATGGAATAGTTTTAAAAATATTTTTATTTGTCTAAGGATTAAAATGCTAATGACCTGCAAGCTGTAGCTTTTTTTCTAAGAATATGTTTTTCCTTTTTTGATGTACATCAAAAAATATTCCTTCCACCGCAGTCATTTTGTTTAAAACTCAGTAACTTTGACCTTACAAAGTCAATATTGTTGTTTGCATTTCTTGAGTTTGGCAAAAAACAAGGTCCCAAGCACTGAAGCAAATCTTTTTCTGTCTCCCTTGATCTATTTTTCCTGACTTGAAGAAAATGTTTCATGTGTTTGACTCCTCTATTTATATCTCAATTCACAGTGTTACCAGATTTGCATGTTCACATTCACATTTTCATTTATAAGATTTATATAGAACATGTCCTTTGCATAAGTGTGCAACATAAAATACCGACTGTATATAAAGAATAAAATGCATTTCTTATCTTCGAATATACGAGCTTCAAACATAAATTCAATAATGACACTCCACTGAGGGAAAAAATGTTCCAAGTATTGCTGACAAATTGTGTGGGGACCTGAGAAACTGAAATTTTCCTAGAAAGAAGAGCAGTGGGTCAAGTCTTTTGGGAAAGAAAAAAGTGAAGGAGGCCCAGAAGTAGGTACAGTTAGGAAGAGACCAAGAAGATGGGGGTACGAGGCCTGCCTAAAGAAGAGTGACCAACAAATGCAAATTCTACAGAATGGCTACGTAGTAGGCAGCTCCTTAAACACCACTAGTTTCACCATTTGGACAGGCACAAGGGAAAATGCAGAGAACAGAGTCCTCATGTTGTTGGAGATGGAAGCCTGAGGTGTTTTGGGTAGAGGAGGATAATTAGGCAAATATATCTTGGTTCTCACCCATTCCTGCCATTTGACTACAGGCATCTCCTTTAATCTTTCTGTTTCCCTAATTATAAAGTGGCTAAATTAATACTTTCTTTATGGTGCTGTTTTAAGTATTACCATTACAATAACATGTAAAGGATGTGACAATATTTTTTAGAACATCGAAGGTTCTCAATAGATGGTTGTGTTGTTTTTAGCATGGTCAACATTTTTAACCTACTTTTAAGATGGTAAGAAAGAAATAAAAAGAGAGAGAGAAGGAGAGAAAAAAAGAGGCTGATTCAACTGTATAACTTTGACTTTTTAAGTCTTACTCAAAATCTGGTTGTGTTGTTGTTGTTGTTTTTGTTGTTGTTGTTGCTAAACACACCACAATCTCGCTGTGGTATATTATCATTTTCTTTTGACATTTTGCTTTATCTCCAATCCCTGAAACAGACTAATTCTGCTTCCTATTTCCAAGAACACTGAAAAGTAGTGGCTTTCTTATTAATAGTTCTGCTAAGTGCCATCCAAAGTTACAGTCGTTCATCATTTCAAAGTAATATTTTTTCTTTAGTCTGTTGACCAAAGTTAAAAATTCTTTCCTAAAAGAAAATTTTAGAAAATTAATTTTATTACGATATTTTTCTCTTCCACAAAATTGGTTTGACCTGTGTAGATCTGGACTATATTCTGGAAATATTATGTATGTCTTGTAATGTCTATTAGATATCACTAACTACTCTAAGAAATAAACTCTCAAGTCTCAGTGTTTTGCTATAAGAGAAATTTTTTCTCAGAGATCAGTCCGCAGAAGGTGGAGGTAGAGGAGGGTTGTTGTGCTTGAAGAACCTAGTTGATAGAGAGTTCATCTTTTTCAATATTTGGGTTTTAAGATCACCCTGGATTTTGACAGCCAGCTAGCATAAACAAATAGGAGACAATGAAGCAGTAGTCAGGGGGTTTTATGGTCCAGACCTGAAAGTGTTATTCATCTCTTTCATTCATATCACTTGGCCAGAACTCAGTTCTATCTAGATTAGAGGGTCTCCAGAAATATAGTCTCGCTGATTTACAATTCCACACCACAAATAGGAAGCTTCAGTGGTCAGATTGCCATTGATGTCACAGTCCATATAGGACATGTTAATCTGATAGACATTCACGTTTTTAATGTGCTGAACATTCAGTTAAGAGCTCTGTTTGCTTAGGGATGAATGCACTCCTTTATTATACTGAGATTTGCTCTTATCATCTCAAATACTGAAAAGTGGCAGTGAGGAATGAAGCCCTCCCTTTATTTAGTGCCAAAGAGATGGGTTTAACTCATCAGGTTCTGACCAGATGAGTCTTGACTATCCTGAGCTCTGGTTTCCTCATCTGTGAAATTGTAAGAGTATGACAGATTTTGCCAATGTTACTTAAGAGTTATTTGACTTTTCTGAGCTGTGGTGATCTGTCTATGAAACTGTGAGATTAGAAAAGATCTTACCAATGTTTTATAAGGTGTGGAGGTAAAATATGTAAAATGTGCATATTAGCCATCCAAGTGTCTAGTACAAAGTGGATGCTTATTATTATTAGCTGCCTTACTGCAATTAGTTGCATTAATACTAAGTAAGTAATGACTTGCAAAGGCTAAATCATGGATAACATTATTGATATTAACAAGACAGCTGATAAACCATAACATCACTTTTATATCATAGGGGACACCTCGATGGTTTGTCATAGCCTGTTTAACATTGGTAATTTACATAGATGATTATCTTAATTTTTTCACTCAGCAGTAGTTCCACCTGGATTACTTTAGAGCTATGTTGACAAACAATGAAACTGAATTTTCATCGTTGCTTATAGTATCTAAATATCACTAAATACATTATTCAGTAAATCATTTTCCGTTTCTTTGAGGAACAAAATATTTGTGATCATGTGTATGGCATGTATGAACTTAAAGGGCACCTCATACACTCTCAGGCATTTGTTTTATTTTCCTAATACTTAAAATCATTGGAAAGAAGACCTCTTTAGGATTATTTTATTTATCTGACGTATCCAGTTATTGTTCAATATTTGAACATAAGAAAATATGTTAAATATGTACTGGCACCTTGTTCTTGGAAGGTATCTCTGATAGAATTAATGACTTTTCAGAGTAGAAGCAACTTCTGGAATGTGTCATGATAATTTTAACCTTCATATGTATTTCCTAAAGTGTAAAGTTAGTAACTAATTCCTCATTGTAGGAAGCATCCAAGCCTATTAGGATTTATCCTTTCAAAAATGTTTTAGCAATTTTTTTTCCATGGGACAAACCTGAGAATAGGCAACCTCTAAGCTCTATTTCAACTCCAACCTTAGAAAAATAATTTAACTTCTACCAGTTTTAGGCACCTTGTCTATGAAATGAAGGCAATAATACCAATAATACCTGCTACACAGAGATTGAAACCATTCAGAGCAGTACACGAACAAATTGGATGCTCTATGTATGTTAGTTCTATTTGAATCTAAGTTTGAAGATTCTATGATAGTATTAGAAACTTCATTTTAGAAAGCTTTGCATTTTTATTATGGAAAGTGGCTACCCTCTAAAAGTCACTAAATCTAGAATTCAAATAGAACACATTCTAAAGGAGACCATAAATGCTCCGTTTGCTTGGTATTGTTTACACATGTTTTCCAACACAATTTACTAGGGAATGAGATGAGATAAGTGGAGATGTTTGCTATTAAACTATGTTCCTTGAATTTTAGCTACATCAGTGAAAGCAGGTTTCTGGATTCTAAGTGCTAGAAAATGAATTGTTGAAGTGTGAAAGCGGAACTGTGTATTGAAAATTGCAAAACACGTAGAGCTGGCTGGTCTGTCTTATCAGAGAAGCTGGTTTTGTAAGAACTTAAGTGGTTACACCTTAAAGGCACCTCTAACTCTTTATTGGACGCACTCTACCCCTTTATTTCTACCTCTTGCCCCTGGAAAAACATATCCCATAGCTAATATGTTGTAAATGTTAATTAATTCAGTGCCATTTCTTACACTATCTTTTGCATTTTAGTTGTCATATAGTTTAAACTGGTGACTATTTTTTCCAAACCCCAAACGAGGACACAGGGTCTGACACTAGGCTATAAACTGTGCCAGGAGAAATATACAGGCTGAGTCACAGGCTGAAAACAAAGGACTTTACAACCGCTGAGAAACCTTATGACATCAACCAAGTCTCTTCATTCCTTGGGCAACATCCTCATCTAGAAAATCAGGAAAATATACATGACACGTGAGATTGAAATAAAGTTTTAATTTTTCTATTCCTCTTCTAGATGTATGTGACATTCTGAAAGATATCAGTTCATAGAGAAATGTTGAAGTTTCTCTAATATAATATGTATAATTAGAAACTTACGGGGTTTCTGAGCTATTACTAAGTAGCCTGTTCTAGAACTTATATTGGTGGGGGGAGAAAAAAGAGAAGTAAAATTAAAAATTACTAAATACTAGGTGTCAGCTATTGAGAAAAACCCTATATTTATAATAACTAATTTAATCTTTCTAACAATTATCTTTTGAACATTTCAATTTTATGGAAACAGAGAATACAAGAAATCAAGTAACTTGTCCAAGGTCATACAAATTCTAAATGACAGTATCAGAATTTAAGCCTGGTCATGACCCTTTGGTGAAACCAAGTTTAACTTCTACCACTCTACAGTTTTCCCAAACAATTCAAATACATCGTTCCAACACAAACCAATTCTCACACACAAATTGTCTTAATTCAATTCAATTTTGAAACAAGCTACCCGGACTGGCAGACCCCACAGATAGTCCACAAGACTGTCACCACTTTAGATGTCAGCTGCAAATGGAGTGCCCAGGCTACCTGCACATTCTCCTGGCTAACTACAAATTCAGGGCTCCCTTCACATGATAGGCAAATAAGTTTTGATAATTTGCTAAAACAACTCACAGAACTTAGAAAAGTGCTATACTGTACTTACAGGTTTATTATAAAGGATACAACTCAGGAACACTTAAATGAAAGAGATGCATATGGCAAGGCATGGAGGAGCAGGTGTACACAGCTGTGAGATCCTCTCTAAGAATGCTACCCATTCACACATCACCAGCATTGAAGCTCCCTCAAATCTTTGTTTCAGAGTTCTCATCAAAGTTTCATTACACAGACAAGATTGACTGCATCATTGGACATTGGCAACTGAACTCAATGTCCAGCCCTTTCCATTCCACAGAGGGAGGTTGGGGTGGAGCTGAGAGCTTTAACCCTCTAATCACAGTATTGGCTTCTCTGGTGACCAGCCCCTATCCTGAAGCTATCTAGGGGCCTGCTAAGAGTTACCTCATTAACATTAACTGAGATATTATTAGCTCATTATTAGTGACTCATTATTAGTAACAAAAGTCCCTGTTATTAGTCAGATTATTAGTAACAAAAGTCACTGTTGTCCCTCAGGAAATTCCAGGGGTTTTTAGGAACTCTCCTCCAGGAACCAGGAACAAAGACCAAATACATACATTTAATTATATACCACAACCACCCATAATATAGATCACAGTAGGAGCTCTTTCTATCTAAATTTCATATGTTTACATTTACCAAACAGGGCTTCTTGGTTCAGAGACAAGAAATTATCGGAAAAGGTTGACATGTTACAAGGTTGAAATGTATCAATCTAGGAAACCCAGTCCTTCCACCAGCAAAGACACTCCTTTCTGAGATATGCCTGTTGGAGACCAATCTAGGGTCATGAGAGCACATGTATTTAATAGCCACTCTATTGTTTTTAGATGATGTATTATAGTTTCATGATATTTAAAATTGAATATAGATAGGTATCATTTTAAACATTAAGGTCTAAATTAGTGGCTGAGAATATCGAAGCTAAGCAGTAAATTAGTTGAGATAAATGACTCCTTGAAGATGAAATGAATAAAAGAGTACATCCCCATGCTATCTCCATAAGGAAGCTATCAGAAAGAAGAAAATTTTTTATATATGTTTCAAATATAACAAGCTAATAGCTTGTTAATAGCTTGCCTAATAGCTTTCTTTTACTGCTAGGCAGTAAATTCACAAGTGTGAAGACTGTGCCTATATTATTTTTCTACTGTATTTCCAATACCTACCATGGCATCTGACACACAGCAAGAACTTAATAAAGGTTTGTTGAATGAATAAATAAATGAATCAGAGAGATATAGTTATGAATCAGAGAGAAATAATTTTGAATCTTAACATCTATATTTACTGTGACCTTGAACTACTTAACCTCTCCAAGCCTCAGTTTCCTAAATATTTATAATAGTACTATTAACATCTTTGAGTTATTGGGAGGTTTTAATAAGACAATGCATGCAGTCTGCTTATCATAGAACATGGCAAATAGTATGTATTCAAAAGTTAGATCTTATTATTATTATGTAAGCCAAAGTTTAAATGATACAGAAGAGCAAAAATAAAGTTTATGACATTAAAATCTATAGTCCATATTTCTATAAGACATTCAAGATGTTATTTCATTAAAGCTTCTAGATTAAATTTCCTCCATTCTAATGATTATCTTGCACTTCTTAGTAGATATTCATGCTAATTGAATTAATATATTAATGCATAAATAGAAATGCAATATTCAATTTCAACAAACAGGTACTGAGCATATAATACATGATAAATATAGTGATGAACAAAAGATAATCTCTGCACTAAGGATTTTGGAGTGTGGTTGTGGGAAAAATGTCTAAATTAATCTTTCCAATGAAGAATGAGAAATACTGTGTTGAAAACATTTAACAATCAATGATCACCCATCCACATACACAGAGCCTGCGTGAACTACCATGGGTATCTTTAGCATGGTAGGTCATAGTTCAGAAAACCTCTTCCCGTTCTTATTCCCTTTATTATTTGACTGTAACATTGCATATCTTTCGCACCCATTGCTTGGGTGCATGAATTGAAGCAAAGATAATATCAGTGATTTGTCCAAGATTTTGCAGGCCAAGAAATGGTATCCATTCATTCTGAGTCTTTGTCTGGTGTCCCTATCTGTTACCCACATCCCCCTACATTTTGATCCTTTAGTAGCTAACAGCAGTACGATTTTTACTAAATGTATATGGCTCTATTTCTGCTATGCATGTATAGTTCTCATTCCATTAGCCTTTCTTCATTAGTCCATTTTATGTCTTTTTAAAAATTTTTATGGGTATAGAGTAAGTGTATATATTTATGGGATATATGGGATATTTTGATACAGGCATACAATGTGTAATAATGAGGATTAATTTGAAAGTTAATAAATCCCAGGCTGGGTGTGGTGGCTTACACTGTAATCCCAGCATTTTGGGAGGCAGAGGTGGGTGGATCACTTAACGTCAGAAGTTCAAGACTATCCTGGCCAACCTGGCAAAACCCCGTCTCTACTAAAAACACAAAAATTAGTTGGGCAGGATGGCATGCATCTATAGTCCCAGCTAATCAGGAGGTTGAGGCATGAGAATCATTTGAACCTGGGAGGCAGAGATTGCAGTGAGTTGAGATCATGCCACTACACACCAGCCTGAGCAGCAGAGTGAGACTATCTTGAAAAAAAAGAAAAGAAAATTAATAAATCCCTTTAAGTACTGTTATAGAGTGAGGACTGGGCCGTGGGACTTAGAACTAAAAGTTGCAGTGAGGATTTTTATTTTTAAAGTAAGAAGGTGAGCAGCATCCCTTGTAGAATGAGGCTTTACCATCAATATGATGAGACTAATAGTACACTTATCTCAGAGGGCTGCTGCGAAGATGATAAAAGATAATATATATGTGAAGCCCAGCATACAGTGTCTAGCACAAGCTGGATGCTCAATATTTATTAGTTCTCTTCCCCTTCCCTGTCAGGCTCTCCTGCAATTGAAAATTTCCACCGTCTCTTCTGCAACTACACACACGACTTTAACGTTCAAGAAAATGTCTTTAGAACTCCACAGATAACATTATTTGGAAGTAGCATTGTAGAAAGCACACACACAGCAGGACTGAAGACATACTGCATTTTATTTATATAAGAAAGCTAATAGCTTCGATTATGTCTATAGAAACCCCCCTTTCCTAGACTGCAGCCCAGCCTGTATAACTGGGCAGAGGCTGCACAATTCCAAAGATTTTTCGAATTGTTACAAATTAGAATCCATGAGGGAAAGGCTCACTAGAGGACATCACAGGCGAGGTTATCATTTTTCCCTTTTGAAGTTGGGCTTCATATCTTTTTCTCATTACAATCATTACTTTGAAATATGATTTTTTTAAACAGTAATTTTCTAGAACAAAAGGGATAATACCATATTTCAAAAGCTTTACTGTGAAATTAAACCTTTGAACTACTGTGAAAGAAATTATTCCCTCAAGGCTGCAAAGCTTAAAGGTTATTAAAAATTTAATTTTAAAGAAGGCATCCAGGAAAAAAAAAGTATATAAATGCTACTTAGAACCCAGATTGCCCAATTTAATAACTCCCATTGCTCCTTATTTTTAAATAATCTGGAAATGTGAACAAATGCACTCCATTTTTTTCAGTGGCTCATCAGTATGTCAACAGATGGCTGGCACTGCTCGTTACCATCATCTATTTTCAACTGGAGGCACATGCACTGCAGTGGCTCAGCTGGTGTCTTCTGCCTCCCTCATTTAACAGAGGGAATAGCACAATCTAGAAGAAGCATCAGACACAGGATATACTGAATTGGGAGAATCCCCCAAACTCCAGATCTCTTGATTGTATTTGTAATTATTGTAAGAGCAAGTATCTAAACCATGGTATAAATGGCCAACACTTCAAGGACTGGTATGATTAGAAGAGTTTCAGCTTCCTCATTTGTAAAATGAAAAGCATTTTTTTTCATTCTGTGATATGGACATGATATTAGCACCTTCATTAAACAGGCAGTGTGTCATTAGGTTGCTTTTTGTACCCCAATTTCCTCATCTGTAAATAGGGATACAACAGTACTTACCTCACTTACATCACATGGTTGGCATGGATATTAAATCATTTTATGCATATACAATGCTATATAAATAGTTTCTGGCACATGATAAGCACAATGTATTATTATTATCATTATTAATTGTATTTCTATCATGTCCAAGTAATGTACTGCATTCTTAAGATACAAAGATAAAAAAAAAAATAGTGCATGTCCCTAAAGGGCTCAAAAGTAAGTAGGAGAGACATATAAGCAACGAAGATAAAAATTACAGCACAATAAGATGACAAAGCAAAGGTATGTTGAAGGTGCATGTTTGTGATTTGGATCTGCCTGGGTGGTGAAGGTGTTGGTGGAAGATGTGATTAGGGAAGGCTTCCCCGAGGAGGTGCCTCAGGAGAACCATTCTAAACACCAAAGCATGAAAGTTCATGGCACATTAATAAAGCCTATTTCTCAGGGGCACAGCAGAAAAAGAAATTACAAAAAATGATGGTTTTTCAACCCTGACAACAATTCAAAATCATCCATGAGGCTGCTGAAAAATACCATCTCCTGACCCATTGAAACACAATCTACAGGGCTGGGGTCTAGGTATAGGTGATTTTAACAACCTGCACACAGAATTCTGATACCCAGCTAGGGTCAGAAGCCACTGCAATAATGCATATTCAGAGCACATTGTCAATAGTAAGTCATAATACAAACGCTAGTTACCCTTATTACTGCTTTCCATGTGTATACTTAAATATGGTGATCTCAAAGACCTCTCTTTACATATACACTTTGTCAAGTATGTCCACACACGAGCGGAAGAAGTGGCAAGCAAGATCATTAATTACAAGCACAAGAAGTTGGACTTAAAATAAAGCTTTTGCCAAGTTGGAAAAATGACTGAACTTGTGCTTCAAACAGAGGCTATATATCTCTGTTTTGTTTCTTAAAAAATACCCAATATTAACACAAAGATCTTCATAAAACTAATTATCAGTAGGCTCCAGTTACCCAACAAGAACCAGATTTGTCTCTTTTTGACAATATTCGCTTGTTCTAGTTTCATCTGTAGAGTTTCTTACCCACTAATATGTTAACCTTGAGCTTACTGGAACTGCAAGTTCTTCCCACTAAATTATGTGCTCCTTGAGGACAGTGACAGGAAGTCTGCCGTTCACTGTTGTTTCTCTAGCACCTGGCAATGTGCTTGTCATGTAGTAGGTGCTAGTAAATATTTTTTTAGTAAATGATATCTTGTTGAATTATTTCTTCCCATGGGCCTAACTTGAATGCCATTTGGCTCTCTAACTGAATGCCTTTGTAAAAGTGTTGCTTCTCGATATTCAGAGAGGTTAGCTCATTTGAAAAGGATATTTATGAGGACCAGTGACATTTCCCTGGTATTATTATAAACAATTATATTCAGTGTAATGCAGGCAAATACTTTAATTCTGTTTTGTGATTCCACACAAGGCAGGGGACAATGGCCATGTTTGCCCACCTAGGCTATCACCTCAAGCTTCTACCTCCCACATTAAGTTATTAAGATACATCCCGCTAATACACTCAGATCAGCCTATATTTGTAGCTGTCATTTTCACAGAAAGCCTATGATAATGGCCACATCTGACAATTTGTTAAATATTCTAGTATATTCATATGTGAATAGTTATATGAGTAATGATATACAATAAAATATTTATAACAAAAGATACATCCTGTTTCTCTTTAGAAGTCTGGATTTTGCCCTTTCTCGTATGGTCTAGAGTTAAGCAGAGCTAATCATTCATGATGTTTTTTAAAGAAAAGTTGCAAAGACTCTGCAGTGTGTATAACATGTAATTCCTCATTAGTGTGACTGTTGCTCCCCTAAATGTCTAGTATGTCACTTAAAATGAATGTTCTCATTAACCTCAAACATGCCAACTTGTCAAATTATCATGAACCAAATAAGACTGTACCCAGAAATTGAGCTGCCATCATAGCACCTCTATGGTTTTGCCAATTAGTCTATAAATAACACATTTTTGAAGACACTTCAGAGTTTTGAAAAACGAAGGCACTTCTGGATGTTCTGAAAGACAAGAATAGCAAAAGAGACTATTCGAAGAAAAGGGAAGAAAATGATTTGCTCTTGTTAGAAGAAATGAAAATTATTTAAAGGAACAAGGGATCAGATGATGATATAGACGTTCAACAAATATTTATTTGATGTCTGATCTGTGCATTAGATTTTCTTAGATGTAGTAGGTGTGAATTACTAAACAAGTCACTAGGATTTTTTCTTTCAGTAGAAAATTATCTAGCAAATATTTATTACACCCATATTATGCATTATGCAGGACACCAGCAATGGAGTACAGAGATAAATAAGACAAATTACTGTGTTAATGGAACTCAAACTTGGTAGAGAAATAAGATAAACAAATATTTAGAAAAGGAATCGGGGAGGTAGTGGTGGTGAAATGCATGCATGCACAGAGGCAGAAGCGGGGCAGCTAAGGAAAGCAAGACAGGTGCCCAAATAGGAAGGATTTGTAAACTAGGCAATTGCTTAACATAATTCTGAAGTTCAAATGCCTAAAGAATAAAGATAACCTAAGAGGTTAATAATTTGATGCTTGTTTGAATTACAGTTTTTGAGCTTTCTCCAATGCGTGTTTAGAGTATGCTCTGAGAATGGAATGAAGGACTGGCAGGGGACATGGATGCCGAAGCTCAATCTCTCGGCTGGTATGGAGAGCAATCCACTTTTGATTCCATCATACCCCCACCATCTGACAAAAACAAACAAAGATGGAAAGCAACAGGACCCATCTACTCCTAAAGGCACTCTAGAGAGAAACTCTTGTGACTCAACCATCCCCCTAAGGGTTCTCATCCTCATGCTCAGCAGCTAGAAAATATTTTTCAACTACTAGTTTTCTTCTCCATGACAAGATTTCTGTCCAATACGGTTTGCTCCATTAAGTTTTATTTCCAGTGATGTTTTAGTGCTCTATGATATTCTTTTTTATAACTTTATTTTAGATTCAGGTGTACATGTGCAGGTTTTTTATATAGCTAAGTTGTATATCGTAGGGGTTTGGTGTACAGATTGTTTTGTCACCCAGGTAGTAAGCATAGTACCCAATAGGTTCTTTTTTGATTCTCACCCTCCTCCCACCTTCTACCCTCAAGTAGGCCCCAGTGTTTGTTTTTCCTTTCTTTGCATTCATATGTACTCAGTATTTAGCTACCACTTATAAGTTAGAACATATGGCATTTGGTTTTCTCTTGTCATGTTAGTTTGCTTAGGATAATGGCCTCCAGCTGCATCCATGTAGTTGTGAAGGACATGTTTTCATTCTTTTTTATGGCTGCATAGTATCCCATGGTATATATGTACCACATTTTCTTTATCTACTCTACCATTGATGGACATTTGGGTTGATTTCATGTCTTTGCTATTGCGAACAGTGCTGCAATGAACATGTGTGTGCATGTTTCTTTATGGTAGAGTGATTTCTATTCCTTTGGCTATATACCAAGTAGTGAGATTGCTGGGTTGAATGGTATTTCTGTCTTCAGGACTTTGAGGAATCACCAAACTGCTTTCCACAATGACTGAATTAATTCATATTAATTCAGTGTTTAAGTGTTCCCTTTTCTCCACAATCTCATCAGCATCTGTTATTTTTGACTTTCTAATAATAACCATTCTGACTGATATGAGCTGGTATCTCATTGTGGTTTTAATTTGCATTGCTCTAATGATTAGTGATGTTGAACATTTTTTTCATATGCTTGTTGGCTGCATGTATGTCTTCTTTTGAAAAGCATCTGTTCATGTCCTTTGCCCACTTTTTAATGATGTTGTTTATTTTTTGATTGCAAATTTGTTTAAGTTCCTTTTTGATTTTGGATATTCTAATATTCCTTGAATGCCCAGCTGTCTTACCCATTAATATGGATACATAAAAAAATACCGAACAGTGAAAACAGTATGTGGCAAATTTTGTAATTTAGAACAGTAATTAAATGAGTTTATACCTTCAAGGTGGGTAGATCAATGCCTGGCCTGTAGGAAACATCAATAAAGGTTAGTTATTAGTATAACAACCATGACTACGGCTACTATTTCTACTGTCAAGTAAGTGAAACAAGACACAAGCTCATACTTTCCATCCCCATCCTTAAATGACATAGACAAGCTGTCTTGTCTGCTAATGTGTGATCACATAAGAATAGAAAATGCATCTTTCTTATTGAATAATTTACGCCCAGGACTTTAGCAGTGCTTGATAAAGATGTGTGGAGTATATTCAAGATTAAGCTAACTCAGTCCTCAAAACCCTTAGGGTTTTTTTTGAGTTGGTATAGTGAACTAATGTCATTTTCCCCCAGAGTGAAGCTGATATCCATTCACTCGAATTTTATATTGATTTTATCTAAGAAGATTCTCATCACAGAATAGGAAATGAAAATGAGGTATGAAATTAGGGGAAAAGGGAGAGAGGGAGAGACATTTTCCAGTGAATTAGATAGTGATGCAATTTCTGGCCTCCTTTTGGTTTGAACAGAAACATGATTTGTTTTATCCTTCCTTTTTGAAGAGTTTTGGGGATAAGACGAAGATTGTAAGTGCATGAGTAGGGAAAGAGGCATACATGAGCAGAGTCTGCAGGTGTAGACAGTACATTTGCAAAGCCTTGTAATTCAAGAAAAGAGATGGGCACAGAAGGACAGCTTCATTTCGTTGATGAAAGCCAAACATAGCTCTTTGCAAATATTGTATTCACTTACTTTTTGAAGGGATAATAATAATAACAAATAAATGACATTCCATGGCATTATTTGATCAAAAAGTAATCAGCGCATATAGCATCACATCTGAACTTTGTCTTAGCCTATGTAAAATGGGGATAAGATTTCTCTCTAGGCCGGGCACAGTGGCTCACGCCTGTAATCCCAGCACTTTGGGAGGCCGAGTTGGGTGGATCACTTGAGGTCAGGGGTTCGAGACCAGCCTGGCCAACATGGTAAATCCCCGTCTCTACTAAAAACAAAAATATAAAAACTAGCCGGGCATGGTGGCGGGTGCCTGTAATCCCAGCTAATGGGGAGGCTGAGGCAGGAGAATTGCTTGAACCCAGGAGACAGAGGTTGCAGTGAGCCAACATGGTACCACTGCACTCCAGCCTTGGCGACAGAGTGAGACTCCATCTCAAAAAAAAAAAAAAAAAAAAAAGATTTCTCTCTCATGTGGGATATGGAAGCTGGAACAAAATATCATCCAAAGAGTTTAAGATACTGGACATACTAAGGATCCATGAATGTGAATATTTGTTGCTGTGTGCCTTTATTAATGACTCCTTACCTCAGGACTGGCAGGGGACATTGATTAGTTTCATTTCACAGGTGAAGGAACATCGGCTGGGTGAAGTGAATTGGCCTGTTCTGCCCTCCTGTTTCCATCAGAAACTAAGAGCCAGGACTCTAATTCAGGGATTCAGTAAGAACATTCCTTCTTCTGACATAAATTTTGGTAACCTCTTTTTTTAAGCTGAAGAGATTTGTTTATGTGTTTGCCAGTCTGGAAAATATATTTTTTTCTTTTTCTTATAATACATATTTTTAGAGTTTATTAGGCTTTTGGTTTCAATTTAAGATGATTATTTTTGATGGTCAAACAGGAATCATTTCATTATGTATTAATAGTAATGATTTCTGTCCTAACATCTTCAGATCCCTAAAACGAAAAGGCTACTCAGTTTCAAAATAGGATGCAGAGAAAAACACACATGCATCCATGTAGAAGGAGAAGAGTCAGGGTGAATGGAAGATGAACAGTACCAGAGATGAAGGGACATCCCTGGAAGCTAGGTTTCTGGACAGCTAAATATCTGCAGAGTGACTGAACCAAGAGCAAATTTGTAATAGGTAAATTTGAAAGGAGCCATGGGGGCTTCTGTGCGGACAGTGAAAGGATGAGGCACAAAAATGAGCAAAGGAACTAATGCTGTTGCAAAAGGAATATGCTAAACATTCTAACTATTATTATTATTCAGTGCCAAGATGTGTCAGACGTTGCCCTGTTAGCTAGGCACTTCTGATATGTTGTCTTTTACTTTTTAGTAATAAAGTATTAAAATTCCCAGATTAGCATAGGCACCAAGAGCACAATCTCTGAAGAACTTGCGTTTTTATGGGTACCCCACTTATCCACACAAGTACTGAGCTGGCTATTTGTGAAACCTGGAGTTTAACTTTATCTATAAGAGATACTGAAAAGTGTCATAGGTTATTGGGAATCAATAACTTGTCCCAAAGATCATTTATTTAATTTTGTCCTGAGATGCAGCAATATGTATCAAAGGTTAGGAGATGTGCTTATGGTCCTGACTCTCGAAACTGTAACTTAGACACTTCACAAAGGCCCCTCCCATGTGTACAAGAAGCAGAGTGTACAGATAATCCCCAAAGCCCTTTCCAGATCAAATTTCCAAATTCATGAGATGATTATCACTGTGTCCCGAGGTCTCCGGACACGATTCCTGAAACAGCTCTGTAGGCCCCAGAGCAGAAAAGCCTTTCCTCCTTTGACGAAGGTGGCTGACCCTGCCTCAGGTGTGATTTTCCAGGCTGCTAGGTACAGTTGTGGGCATGTGTGCTTGGTCAGCTGATCAGAGGGTCTGACCTGAGGGCCTGTGTGTTCTGAATCTTGTTTACTAGATGCTCCTTGATTGAATGAGGGTTAAAGCAGGGCTGCAATTGTGATGCTTTTAATCTTCTCCAGTTTCATCACCTCCTGCTCATCTTCACTGGCTGAGTATGCTCAGGAGTAAGGCAGGCCCTTAGCGTTGCCTAGAGGAGCTTCATTGAAAAGTGCCTCAGGCTTTCCTTACTGTAAAAATAAGGGGGAAAAAAAGAACTTCCTGTCTCTGCACTTGCTTCCAGGATCACAGCTACATAAATATCTAGGACTTTGTTAATCCTTCTTCAATAAATACCTGTTGCATATGGGCTTAATTGTCCAGAATAAAGCGTAAACTCCTCTGAAATCTTCAGATTTTTAATGAATGTTAGAAAAAAGACTTATTGAGTGGGATGGAATTATGAAGCCACTGTCTCACTTGTCTGAGATCATTTTGGTTTTGATTATTTTTTCTCTGAAATCTAGGATTATTCACAGTAGTTCACAAAACTCCATCAAATTTCTCTTCCAAAACCCCCCTGAAGTTCCAAAGAGATTAATAATGCCTTCCATGCATTAAGCAATAGCTCTCAGGTCTTCATTTATATCAGTGAGCATGTCAACTGAGCAAAGCCATGCATTTGTTTTAATACAGGTGATTAAGGAGATAAGAGTTGGTCAAGCCCTGCTTGAAATCCAGTATGATTTATTATTTGTCAAATGTTTATTAATTTATTGTTATTCACTATTTACAGGGACAAAAATACATTATATCATCTACATTCTCAAGAATCTTTCTGACTTGGTAGTTGTTACAGTACCTCCCTTTAAATATCTTTTCCTTTGTTCTTTGTGCATTCTAATTCTGATTGTTCCAGTTATTACTTGACAACCTTGGACAGATTAATCTACTTCTTTAAATCGATTAAGTTCCTTAAAATTATAAAATGGGATATACTTGAATAAAATGAATTAAATAAGGAACATACAATTTTCTTTTAATTCAACTGAATTTAATACCTATTTATTGAGCACATATTGGCCAGACACTCTGTATATGTTATTTTATTTCTTTTACTCAATCACCATGTGAAGTAGGTATTATTCAGTCATATAGATGAGAAACTGAAGCTCAAAAGTGAGTAATAGGCAGAATTTGAGCCAAAGTTATTATGATTTCAGAGCCCTAGCTGCTTCCCCAGATATGAGTCATTGTTATTATAGGTTATCTTATTTTGCATTTTCAAATGTGGTCTTTCATTAGAAAAATACACCTCATTTTGGTTATGTCTTATGAAGTCAATTAGCCATGGAGTTAATGTCATATGCTAAATATCAAATAAAAGGCTTGGCAGACAGAGAGGAGGATAGATGGTGTTGAAAATCTGGGAAGTAATCTGAAAGAGAAAATGGAAAAAATATATATATATAAGATGAGCACTTGATCTGCCAGGGAAACTCACACTAGAATGTAAGTTTTGAATGGAAACATTTGTACATGTTGAAAAATATATTCTCCTATCAGTTATTTCTTTATTTCCTCAATAGTCCTCCTCTCTGCTCCCCCCACACCGAATTTCTTCATTTTTGAACAATTCTGTCTTTGCTTCAGCATACTGGCTTTTTCTCAGGAATTGTGTTTTGTCAGCTCCCAAGCAGCTTAAACACCACCAGCTTCAGAATCATTGCCATCCTCAGAATGTGGTTCTGTGGTAGGACCTCGGGTACAGAGTTTACAGATAAATTTCACAAGAACATAGGGTTCTCATGATCATAATAATGATGGACATGATAATAGCTACTATGTTCCAGGTTCTCTATTAATATTAGTTTCAATCTCAGCTACTCGGGAGGCTGAGGCAGGAGAATCGCTTGAACCCGAGAGGCAGAGGTTGCAGTGAGCCAAGATCGTCTCCATTGCACTCCAGCCTGGGCAACAAGAGCGAAACTCCTTCTCAAAAAAAAAAAATTATGTATATATATATATATATATATATATATATATATTCATTTCAAGGAATACAAAGATGGATTTAGAGACAGATTTCATCTTCCAAGGTACAAGCATTTAAACAAATAATAGCTGAAAAATGATAAGGACAATAATTGAATCGAACCGTAGAAACACAAGTGGAGAAGAATCTACCTTGAAGAGGGCAAAATAGATTTACATATGGTGTGATAATAGAAAAAATTTGAAATGAGAGAATAGGAGTTTACCCAGTATAAAAGGAGAAGTTTGGACAATATAAGCCCACACTGAACAAATACAGGGTGACAGGAAGAAATCTGAACATGTTTCCACCTGACACAGGAGCTAAAGGTGGGGAAACATCAAATATCACCTGCTGTAGAGTTGTATCTTAAATACAAAACAAAAGTATTTTGTTTTATTGTAATAACAACATAATTTGATTTCAAATTATATAAAAGTATGCTTTATATATTAAAATGTCAGTAGATTCATCTATTTAATCAAGTTTCTTATTGGTTGACTATTGTACCAAACACTTAGCTAGTCACTGAGGATTCAATGGGGAATGAAGTGGACATGGTCCCTACGTTTGGAAAATTTATTATTTAATGGTGAAACAAACATTAAAAAACAGCAAAAAATTAAATAAGTAACATGTGGTCTCTAATGTGGTAAGTGATTTGATAATATTTAATACAATAAATGAAGGGATCATATTTCAACGTATTTGCCAATGACATTATCAAAATCAAGAAAAAAAAACTAAGCTAGGAATAAATACACATAAAACTCAGCATAGGGGATAAAGGTAGAAAGTATCAAGTGTTTAATTTCAAAAAGAGATAAACCCCTGCTTTCGCATCAGGCTATAAGAAAAGTTTTGAGTATTATATTTGACCCAAAGCATAAACAGGATTAACTATGTTGATGCTAGTATTTGTTTTAAATTAATTCAGTGGCTTCCTTAAATGATTAAGGGCCTAAATTATAGGTATGATACTTTTACTCAGATACATCTGATATAGGACATTTGCTTCAAAATCCTGTATTTTCAGGATGTTAAGTACTAAAATATTAACAAAATAGGGCACCCTGGACCTACAAACCACATCATGTATAGTAATGGTTAACAAAATAAAAATGGTTCTGTTGCAGATTGAATATGCCCAAAATCATATACTGATATTCTAATTCCCAGTGGGGACTTTAGGAGGTTATTAGGTCATAATGGTGTTGCCTCATAAATGAAATTAGTGACCCTATAGAAGAGACCCTAGAGTTTGAAAACAGTGGCTTGTTGTTGTAGTAGTCTGAGCTACTTAAGAGGGTAAGGTGGGAGGATCACTGGAGCCCAGGAGTTCCAGACCACAGTGTGCTATAATTGCCCCTATGAATAGCCACTGCAATCCAGCCTGAACAATACAGCAAGTTTCGGTCTCTAAAAAAAGAAATAATAGTTAATTAAATTAATTTAAATAAAAAAGAGCCGGGACAGGCGTGGTGGCTCACGCCTGTAATCCCAGCACTTGGGGAGGCCGAGGCGGGCAGATCACAACATCAGGAGATTGAGACCATCCTGCCTAACACAGTGAAACCCCGCCTCTACTAAAAATACAAAAAATTAGCTGGGCGTGGTGGCGGGCACCTGTAGTCCCAGCTACTCGGGAGGCTGAGGCAAGAGAATGGCGTGAACCTGGGAGGCGGAGCTCGCAGTGAGCTGAGATCCTGCCATTGCACTCCATCCAGCCTGGGCGACAGAGCGAGACTCCGTCTCAAAATAAAATAAAATAAAATAAAATAAAATAAATAAAATAAAATAAAATAAAATAAAATAAAATAAAATAAAATAAAATAAAATAAAATAAAATAAAAAATAAATAAAATAATAAAATAAAAAAATAGCCCAGAGAACTCCTGTAACCTTTCCATCACATGAGGACACAGCCCTTCTGACACATGAAGACAGCCATCTATGAAGAAAGTAGGCCTGACTAGACACTGAATCTGCTGGCTTGATCTTGAACTTTCTTACCTTCAGAGCTATGAGAAGTAAGAGCTTTTTTAAAGCTACTCAGTTTGTGATATTTTGTTATAGTAGCCCAAAGGTACTAAGTTTCCCAAACTGGAGGCAGCATAGAACGGTTGTAAGACCTAGATCAGTCATACATTGTGTCAATCCAGCCTTACCTAGTTGCTGACTATACTTCCTTGAGCAATTTACCATCTCTAAACCTTAATTAGCTAATGTTTATTGGGGATAAAAATGTAACTTATTTCATATGATTATTGTGAAGATTTAATAATATAACACATATAAAATGTCCAGAATAATGCCTGTTATATAGTTCTATGATTTGAATATGTCCCCTATAAAGGCATGCATTGGAAACTTAATCCCCAGTGAAACAGTGTTGGGAGGTGGGGCCTAATGAGAGGTGATTAGGATGGGAGGACAGAGTGAATAGATTAATGCTGTTACCACATGTGTAGGTTCATTATAAAAGGGCAAGCCTGGTCTCGTTTTCTGTCTTCCTCTTGTTCTTTCTTTGCCCTTCAGCCATGGAAGGATGCAGCAAGAAGGTCCTTGCAAGATGCCAGCCCCTCAATCTTAAACTTCCCAGCATCCAGAACCATGAGCTAATAAACTTATTTTCATCATAAATTACTCAGTCTATGGTAGTCTGTTATAGCAGTACTCCCAAACAGAAGTGAAAAGGAGAGATGAAGACTAAGAGTAGAGTCATGGTTAGAAAAAGCACAGAAACAAATCTCTTAGAGCCCCAAAGCTGCCCTGACTCCTATGGCACTTTCTTTCCTCATGGAAACATCTCCAGTATCTCATCAACACATCTCTTTGTGCTGCTGAAGTTAGTCCAGATTGGGTTTCTCCTACTTGCAAGTGAAAGAGTTCTAATCCTGTTATTATTGTTATTATGATCATTGGTGAATATCCAAGAAGGACACTTAAGCACTAGTAAGTTCTCAGTAAATGTTTTTGAATGACTTGAGTGAGTGAACTTTTCAAATCAATGAATCTGAAGATATTCTTTGAATTACTATATGATTTTGAAGAATGCTATAAAGCAGATATATTCAGAATTGAATAAAATACAGGACTGGAAATCTATAGAAAGAGGATGGCACAGAAGAAATAATTAAGTGTTTCAAGTGAAGTTGACTTAAATCCAAATTCCACCTTTACCACCTATCAGTTGGATGGCCTTGGGAAGTAGCTTTAATTTCTCTGAGATCAATTTTTCCAACTGTAAAATAAAGAAAAGAAGCACTCTCATATGATATTATTTTAAGTATTATCATAAGCATTTCGTATCCTTTTATCTTTTCCAACTATTAAGCTTCTAGGTGCTTTGATTGTTACATTGTATAATTATTCTTTGCATGAGACATACAATACTAATGTCACAAAGCCACATTCTAAAATAATGAAATTAATTCAAAAGACCACATAATAGATTCTAATTATACTCCCGTTTCTTTCAAAACTTTCTAGAAAAAAAAATGATTTGATGTCATATTTTAAAATTTTCTCTTAAATAATTGCTTTCCATGAATAGAATACCATATAAATATATGGAAAGACTCTTTAGGAAAATCTCAATAAATATCTTGGCAAGGTTTAATTATTGACTGACCACATTGCCTTTTTTGTTAATGACTCACTGCCCCATGAGTCACTTCTATACCCAATTTTTAAATGTGTTCCACTGGTAGCAATTTTCTTTGCTTATTTTAATATTGCTTAATGAAAGTGTTTGCACAGCCAGTAGTCAGAATAGTGAGGTTTGGATCATAGAATTACTGTAGCCCTTGCTTCCTTTAGAATGCTTATCTTTCCTGATAATCGAGGGTATTATTTCCCATAGACAGCCTCATGCTTCTAAGACATATTAGAAACTGTCTTTAACAATCATTTTCCATGACCAAGGGAATTGGGGATAATAGAATGTGTAGTCACTTTCAATTTGTGTCAAATTTTCTGATGCATTTGTACCACCAACATTTTATCAGCTTGTCACTGGAACAAATGAAGTTGCAAATTGCATTGACTTTTTTTTCATGAAATCTTTGAAACTGTTTATTTTTAACATGCCTTCCCTTCTGTCTTTTTTTTTTTTTCCTTCTATAGTGTAACAGGCTTTATTTTCAACTTTCAGGGTCTTTGTCATTTAGTGAGTACAGCAGACAGGCACAACAATTTTCTGAGGCTTGAAAGTTCTGAGGGAAGGGATTCAGGCTTTTAGGGCGTATTAAAGCTCAATGCAGATTGAAGCAATAAGCACGGAGCAATTTGATGAACTACCTGTAGGCAGGGGTGGAGAATTTCTGACACCAGGAAAGCCATTATGCTCCTGTTAAGTTCAATAGCCCAGTTGGCCTAAAAGGTTACGAGTGATGTATGTTTTCATTATCTCCTGTGGACTTGATGCCTCAGAGGACCCCAGATAGCTCATTCCGGCTTCAATTCTCTTCATTTGCACTATGGCTAGGTCTGTCAGATCAAGCCAATATGTTTGTGAGGGTCAGTTTGCTTTCAGAAATATTGTTCCATGATCTCTGCTATATTCTTCTGCCTGAAAATCTGCAAGGAGTTACCACTTGGGGAGTAACTGAAAGCTTTTAAAAAACGCATTTTGATTTCCTGGGTATCAACTGTCACTTTGAAAGCAATAATAGCAAAACAACATTAAAATTAGTTATCATTTATTGAACATATATTATGTGCCAGGTATGCCTTACAGACATTATTTTATGATGTAGTCTTTACCACATCCCAGCAAGCCAGATATCATAATTTGTATTTTATACATGAAAAAAACAAGGAGACAGTAAAGGATTAAGCAAATTCACTAAAACCAGATTCCTAGTGTTAGAGGTAACATAACACTCAAACTGAGGTCAGCCTAACTCCAGGAAATTCCTAACAGTTGTAAATTATTTTAGTCCAATGTGGAGAAACTCAGAATCTAGTTGGGGAACAATATATGTATATATAATAATGTTTTCATTAGAATATTTGTATGTTTAAAGGGCAAGAGAAGCAATATGTACTAAGTACTACTTATATCTGTCTTTAGGGGAAGTAATTAAACCTACAAAAGTAGGGGTCAGAAAATCAATAAGGAGGTAACTCATCAGTGGAAACATATTACATGCCATGCAATCCTTGAAACAAAGGCTCAGACGGAGCCTTGAAAGAACCGAGTGTTGGGGGAACCCAGAAAGTCAAGGGCAGCATAAGAAAGAAGAACACTCCAATGTCTAAACCTGTCTGTGTCAGCACAGGATAAAGGCAAAAGTATAGAAGTAGCAGGTTGTTGCTATCAGAGGATGATGGACCAAGGAAGACTATAAAGGACAAATTTCACTTCTCAATTTATAACAAAATTTCAAGAATATGAAACTGTAGTGAATATATGAGAGTCATTTATTTCTAAAATAAAATGTGAAAATTAATACCTGCCTTACTTATCACCTGGCATGATTTTACAATAAGTATGCTTGATTTTACAATAAATAATGCTTGACTGAGACAAGCATTACACAGATGAGAGTTATTGTTAGGATATGCAACTGAACTGCCCTGGTTGTGTCTATCTCCTGTTGTTTTGAAATTACATGTAAATACTTTTTCCCAAAAGAACATGAATTAAAAGAAGTCAAGCTATATTTATTTTAATACTGTTTCTTAGTTACTAATATTTCTTCATGCAATCATTCAACAAATATCCCACATGGCGTAAAAATGAGGCAATGCAGACCCCAGTATCTGGTGCAGATCATTCATATAAAAGCCCTCCCCAGATCTTAAGGGATTGAAGTCAATTTTGCAGAGGTCTCCAATGCAAATATCATGGTGTTTAATAAAGAGCTGGAATTTCCTTGAGACTAATCTGATAATTACTTTGGTTTTCTATTGAAAAAGCATGTATTCTTTCACTTAAAATGACCTTGTGTCATATGTGTTCAAAGGTTGATCTAAGGCAATGGGGTTTTATCCCATCAATTTGTCTTGGAATTGCATGCATTTGTTTTAGAATAAGGATTGTTCTTTCATTACATAGGCTATTATTTGCTTTGTCAAATCCCTCTTGGCCATGAGCACACTTTAGAAATAGGGATTCTTTAGAGATGCTGAGAAGGATGTTCTGCTAACAATGCCCTTTAAAAATCTAAGAAGATACTAAGGAGCTGGTGTAGCACTGTAAGGACTTACATAAGCAGACTAACAAATCTGGGCAAATGAAGACACGTCCAGGACATATCCGGGTCTACAATTTCAAGGGCCTGTGGTAAAATATGCTGATTAATTACTTTTATTTTGGTAACACAACAATAAATACATGCCTCTTTGACATTTTAAACAGCTTTACTAAGGTATCATTGATAGAAAATAAACTGGACATATTTAAAATATGTGACTTGACAGTTGTGACATAGATTTTTACTCATGAACTCATCACCATAATGAAGATAATGAACACACTCATCATCCCCAAAATTCCCTGTTGTCCTGTTGTAATATAGCTCCTATCCAATGGTGCCCCCTTCTTGAAACTCCTAATTTACTTTCTGTCATAAATTTGTTTGCAATTTTTACGATTTTACAAAAATGGAATAATGTATTCTGTTGTCTGGCTTATTTAACTCAGCATAATTATTTGAAGGCTCATCTGTATTGCAGCACGTGTCAGTGGTATATTCCTTTTTATTTCTGGAGTAGTATTCCATTGTGTGGATACCAGAGTCTGTGTATCCATCTACCTGTTTGTAGGCATAGATCCCTTCATTTTTATTACCTTTCATGACGTTTGGTCTCACAATCCCGATATTAGTAACTCCTTTCTGAAAAAGTATTTCAAAAGCTAAATTCTCTATTCTCTCCAGATCATAGAGAGGAAAATGACCTCTCAAGAAAACTCAGGGACAGAATTAGGATATTTATAACAATAGTAATAGTCTGATGATACACATAGCACCAATTGAAATTGTTTTCTTTCGTTTTAATCTGAACACATCGCTCATAATGTGCGCAACTATCTCTTTCGTTTCTTTCTCTTTTATTATTATTACTAAGCGAGTCATGGGTTATAAAGATATGACCAAAACTCAAACATAACTGAATTTGAATGATTCACTTAATAAATTATGTTTTTTAGGCCTACTACATGTCAGGCACAGGACTAGGAATAAAGGATTTTAAAAGATATATATTTGTTCTTTTGTATCCCAAAGTAGATTTATTATAAAGCTAGTGTCAAACTTAAGCTTTGGGGTTCCTTATATGCAGAGGCCCGCTCAAAGTGCTTAGACTTAGTAATGCATTCATATGGTCACATATTTTTGTAGGATTTGCAAGATTAATGTATTTTAAATGTAACTGATCTGAACCTGTGTCCCTATGTACTCCAGCTTTTCTCCTACCATACAATGTTTTTCAAAAAAAGTGGCATTGGAGTTCCCAGGAGAACGTTAGGGATCCAAAGGGGAACTGGCGTTCAAGAGATAAATAGATACATACACACATACATGCATACACAGAAATTTAATTCTTACATACAAAGATATGGTTTGGACTTAGTAAGATAAATGCATGTGGTTCACAGTGACTTCTGTGTATGTTAACTGAAGACCAGTGTGTTAGTTTGTTTGGCATTGCTATAAAGGAATAAATGAGGCTGGGTAATTTGTACAGAAAAGAGGTGTATTTGGCTCACAGTCATGCAGACTATACAAGAGCCACAGTGCCAGCATCTGCTTCGGGTAAAGGGCCTCAGGAAGCTTGCAATCATGGTGGAAGGCAAAAAGGGAGCAGACAGAGGGGACAAGAGAGAGAGAAGAATGTGCCAGCTTGCTTTAAACAACCCACTTTCACGTGCACTAATAGACCAAGAACTCACTCCTTACTGCAAGGACAGCACAAGCCATTCATGAGGGATCCAGCCCAGTGGCACAAACACCTCTCACTAGGCCCACCTCCAACATTGAAGGTTCACATTTCAACATGAGATTTGGAGGGGACACATCCAAACCATATCAACTAGCTACCTCAGGATAGAAATACTATCTAGAAATTCTACTGCCCAGTGTGTATACTTGCCAGGCTCCCTGATCAAGAGACGCAAGTTTATAAACTGTCGTATAATATAAACATTGTACAATATAAATGTATAAACATTTATACAATATAAAATATAAATATGTCTGTTGGTGCTGGACACTGGGAGGATATGGATAATGGAAAAAACAGTAGGTTTGAAATGGACAAGCTCAGAAGTATGTCTGTGTAAGAGTGTATAAAGGCATTTAAATAGTCTGTACGTGGAGATGTTTATATTTGTCAAACTTTAAAATTTCGAATTTAATGGGATTTCTTTTCTCCTGCTAAATAAATAATTACTTGTTAACCTAAATTTATATTTATAATTTTGAATTATTTTCATTAAAGAGATCTCTACCAAAAATGTAGGTGTACTTGAGGCTCCACAAAACTAGGATCTACCTCCGTTTACACATTAATAGTTCAGTGGGGGAGACAGGCTAGTAAACACACAATTAAGATACAAAGTTATTAAGGATAAAAGAAGAGAACCTCAAGTACTATAGGATTATACATGCCAGGAATATAATTCTTACTTGGGAGAAGAGAACAGGTTTCTTGGAGGGAGCGGTGTCAAAGCTGAGATGTTGTCGTGAGCACGAGTTGGCCAAGGTCAACTGTATAGGTCCCTGTGTGTCTATAATTTCTGTATTGGGATTGGAGGAGAGGGGAAAAAATTCACAGGAGGGTAGTTAAAGAGATTTTTCCTTTACCCTTAGACATGAAGGTTTTAAAAATATATGGGGCCGGGCACGGTGGCTCATGCCTGTAATCCCAACACTTTGGGAGTCTGAGGCGGGCGGATCACTTGAGGTCAGAAGTTCAAGACCAGCCTGGCCAACATGGCGAAACCCCATCTCTACTAAAAATACAAAAATTAGCCAGGCATGGTGGCGGGAGACTGTAATCTTAGCTATCAGGATGCTGAGGTATGAGAATCGCTTGAACCCAGGAGGCGGAGGTTGCGGTGAGCTGAGATCGCACCATTGCACTCCAGCCTGGGGGACAGAGCACGACTCCGTGTCAACAAACAAACAAACAAACAAAGTATATGGATGGGGTGGGGTGACATATGGTCAAATTTGCCTACATTTTACAAAGTGATTCCTGAGAAGCATTACTGAGGAATGCCAAGACTTCAGTCATAGAAACCATATTTTATTATGTGTCTTCTATAGCTGTTTCTTTCCCTCTAAGGCAGAGGTCCTTAATTCTCTAAAGGTAGTTTTCAAGGAGCGGTTTCAGAATACTGGGGTACTTAGTGAAGGTTCCTCACTACAGTGAATGGTATCTGGGGTTCCATTCTAAATACCAACACAACCTAGACCACGTGTGGTTCTTTCTCCATCCAGCCATTAATAACTTAATCAATGTTTTTTTAGTCAATCTAGGCTTAATCAAGGGTCAGAAATTCAGACTGATGTATACATTTACTACTATTTTATTTTTTCTGTGGGCTGGAGCAATCAAACTCATCTTCTAAGTTTTCTTCGATTTACAATGTGGGTGGGAAATTCTCCTTTGGAGGGTAGTTTGAGAATAAAAGCATCTGATAAAAAGATTTGGTATAACGAAGCACCCAGAGTCGAGTAGGTGTTCAAATCTGGCATAGTGGCAAGCATCTGTAGTCCCAGCTACTCTGGAGGCCGAAGTGAGAGGATTGCTTGAGGCCAGGAGTTCAAGGATGTAGTAGACTATGAATTGTGCCTGTGAGCAGTCACTGCGCTCCAGCCTGAGCAACACAGCAAGACTCAGCCTTAAAAAAAAAAAAAAAAAAAAAAGCAAGCAAGCAAGAAAAGTGTTTAATAAGTTTGAAATGATTATACACTCAAAAACTTCTACCATTTTTAATGAGAGACTCTATATCTGCTCTCAGGTATTCTTGATGATGTAGTCTTTGGAGAATGACTCTCAGAGGATTTTTTTCCTCTAAATGGAGAATGTTTCTGAATTAATTCACTTAATAAAAAACTAAATAATACCTGGAATTCCATTAAGAGAGTACTTTTACAGGTCATTGAAAGCCTATTTTATATGCCTTCTGAGATACTCCAATATTTACTTAATATTCAGAGATGAACTACACCTTTTAAAGGATATCAGGACCATAACTTCCCCAAGATACTATTCAAGTGTAGCATGATCCTGGATGAAGTTTTGAGAAATGAATTACATATGAATATACGTATCACTCTGGTCTTCATATTGACATCTCTTGGACAAAAGTGACTTTCCAGAATGCCCAATTTTAATTTATTTTTCGTAATGCAACAACAGTTGGCAATGTTTTTGGAGTGTGGAGCCATGGATGTGGTTTGGGACAATATCTGTCTAGCCTACTGCTGTTTCTTCTAATAGTCTTGCTATAAATATTACTGCTTCAGGAATGACTTCCCTTACCCTACAATCAAATCTCTCTCTTTTTGTCACGCTCTGTTGCTCAGGCTAGTGTGTTGTGGTACAATCATAACTCACAGTAACCTCAAACTCCGGGGCTTGACTGATCTTCCCACTTCAGCCTTCAGTGTAGCTGGGGCTACCAGAGTGTGCTACCGTGCCTGGTTCTTTATTTATTTTAATTATTTTAAGGACAGGATCTCATTATGTTTCCCAAGGCTGGTCTCAAATTTCTGGCATCAAGAGATCCTCCTGCCTCTGCCTCCCACGGTCCTGGGATTGTAGGCATGTATCACCACCCACAGCCTGAATCAACTCCCTTTTTATATTCCCTTAGTTCTTGTGTCTTCTCCCTCATTGTCTCTTGTTATGCTTTGTTACCTATAGAACCTGGGTCTGTTTCTCTAACGTATAAGCTTTGAGAGTACAGGCACTAAATCTGATTTTTTAAACACTATATTCCCTTCACTTCTGTCAGTTCATGGCACATAACAGGTGTTCAATAAATACTTAACAAGTGACTCAATGAGTATTGTATAAATGAATATTTAGTTACAAATCAAAGACCACAGCCAGAAAAACTTGCCATCAGCCTTTTAGGATCCATTCAGAAATAGGAAGCTCTTCAAATTTTTAAGCTGAAGAAAGAGGAAACTTTGGGGGAAGCTTCAATAAAGGAAATTATGTGAGAAAAGGATAGAAAAACAATATTGACTTTTCTAAGCCTTGTGCTACCTTAAAAACAAAAATAATGCCATGCACAACTTAGTTTGCTCATCAAATTTTAGCATTTTGTTCACTAAATTGAAAAAATTATACAAACAAGTAAATATTTATAAATTGAATTTACTTTGAGATATTTTTCATCTTTGATATAAATTCAGTCCCAAGCTGCTGAACTTTAAAAATAGCAACACTCTTACCATTTACTGGGTGATGATGATATGCAGGAGAAAACTTGAGCTTGGAAAAAAAATCATCCACGGCACCATAAAAAAGATAACGTTTTTAGGGCGGCTGGCTTGGTGGCCTTTAGTGACAGACACAGAAAGAGGAAGGCGAACCAGAGGAAGCAAATTTACATTTATTGAGCATTTATCACAAGCCAGTCCGTGAGATGGGCACTTTGAATGGATTAATTCATTTAATTTCCATACAATAACTTGGGGTTGATATTCCTATTCCCATTTTTCAAATGAAAATACTGTAATACTGGAAGGCAATTAATTTTTTATAGGACTCCTCTTAGTTAAGACAAGAGAAAGTGGAATTATAACTAACTTTTTCCTAGCCCAGGGCCCAGGGTGATGGCCTCATCATGGCTCAGGCAACCAAAAGAAGCTCTCATTTTTGAAAGAGAAGTTCAGCAACAGCCACATATCCTTGAATCTTTTCCATCCTATGAAAAAAGGCAAGGCCTTCAAAGGCAAAGAGTATATTATCATCTCTATTCTCTTAGGATCTGAACCAGTACTTTCCAATAAAGTGACCTACACGTGGAAATTACATTTTAAAATTAGCTATGTTTAAAAAAGTAAAAAGAAATAGGTAAAATTAATTTTAAAAAGTTTCTTTAACCCCCAAATATATCCCCAACATTATCATTTCAACATATAAACTATGTAACAATATTAAAATACATTCTGTTTCTAAATTTTAAATTCTATATTCTAAATTTTCAAACTGTGATGTTTATTTTATACTTGTAGCATATCTGGACCAGCCACATTTCAAGTCTCAGTAGCCACAGGAGCACTAGTAGCTACCTTTTTGGACAGCACAGATGTGAAGAGTTCCAGGTAGGACTACTAATAAACCATCTCAGGCAGGAAAACATGAGGCCTTCTCATTATAAATATCAACACTGCCATTTATTTCATACAGCTGACCTTCTCCCTGACTCAGTGCTGCATGGAGATCAATAACCTAGGTTTGAAGAATCAGGTTTCCATAAAACTCTGCTCCACCACTTATTGTGTGAGTCATTGAACAAGTTACTTAACATGTCTGATCCTCAGTTTTCTCATTTGTAAAATGGGGAGAATGATGCTTAGCTTATGAGGTGGTGATGAGTTCTGTATGAATCCTCTGGCATGTGGCACTTGCTCCGTAAGTAGAAGTTCTTCAAATTAAAACTGAATCTCATTTTCTTGTGTGTGGACTTTAATAGAGATTGAGTGTACTATTCTTGACACAGAACCCTTAAATAGTTTACTATTCCATACAATGGCCCCACACCTTCCGGATAGATCTTTGTTATCATTCACAGGCCCTTCAGGATATGACATCATCTTGCCTCTCACACTTTCTCTTCTGCTGACCTCCTATGTTCTGTGGCTACAATGGATCCATTTCCATAAATGTATCATGCTTTCTCACACCTCAGTGCTATACCGATCATAGTGAAACTGAGTCATTCAGTCACTCACTCTCCCTTATTTGATAAAAATTGTTACGGGTCTCACACATGTTGATGTATTAATTATGTTTCCAAAAACATTGGAGTTCCTGCAGAATAAACTCTGCAGGCTAATTAGAATAATGGATAACCTTTAAAAAATCCCAATAGTCTACTTACAGATGAATTTGCGCTCTGTAGCATTGAGCTCTTTAAAAAAAAAAAAAAAAAAAAAAAAGCAAGCTCATACAATATCAACTAGAACAAAAGGAAACTATAGCACTTCTACCCACTATTTTCTTCTTCCCTGTGGAAAGAGGTTTTTACAAGTCCCCACATAGTTTTTCTTAGTTTCTTCTGGTATCAGGCTAAATGCATGAGCCTCCTTGCTTTAATTCTAGAAATGCTGGAGGACTGTGGGTGGTTCTTGGGTTTCTTCCTAATGGGGTATATACAATGCCTGCTGCAGTAGCAGCTCTGTGGTTAAAGCCTGGGACTCACAGTGACTCTCTATACTTCTAGCCATCTGGGAAGAGCCAGCTTCCTACCACTTCTCTCCTCAAAGCTGTTATCTTAGAATCAGGGTGTTTATCCTGAAAGAGCATATTTCCTATTTAAAACCCACTCAGAGATGGGATGGAAAATTTTGAGTAGAATTGCTTCAAAAGTTTTTCTTTCTGTAAAAGGCATGCTAAGGAAATCAGAAAATTATTCTCAATGGGTGGTATTGACGGATGTAAATGTACCATTTTATTTGTTGTAGGTTTTGAGCAACAACAAAGCAATATTTGCATTCTGGCTTGGATTTCCCAAAGGGAAGACCAAATCTAGAGTAAGATTATTGCCCACATTGACTGTCTTCTCCTCTCAAAAGTTAGTCAATAAGAAACTAAAGTTTAAGAAATATTTACTAAAATGTTAATCAAAACCTGAATTATAAATTTTAATATCAAAGTAAAAAAACATGGTATTCATATATTTTATAAATGAGGTCACTAACAAACTTGTGTTTGTGTTTATGCAATTTTTGTGCTAGTCTACTATTTAAGAAGTTTTGGCAGAAACCATGGGAAACAGAAGTATAAACAAGTTTGTGTACAATAATTTCAAATTTGTAAAATATTTTACAATTGTTTTAAATTCTTTCTTAATGTTATATTATGATCACATCTGCTTTAAAATATCTGTATTTTGCCTGTGAGAAAGCTAAAGCCTTGAGAATTTAAGTGTTTTTCATGGGAGAACACAAAGTTTTTGGTTGAGCAGTAGATGTCACTTCAGCTAGTCTAACACATCTGTAGGAAAAACTATTTAATTACTAATTATCAATTGATGTGGCTAAGTACCAATTTGTAGATATTCACAAGATTTACTTTAAAAATATAACCTTCTTATTCTTTGGCTAGTGAAAATGAACTGATTTATAAAGGCAAGTGCCTTTGAGGCTATAAGTATGAACTTTATTTCTCAAAGAGATGGTATTTGTTGTACTGGAAAACATTATTTGATGTTGGTGTCTGATTCTCTAATCATGGTGTTACCAATTACTAGCTGGGTTTGACCTTAGAAAATTTCCTGCATGGCTCAGATCCTCACTGTCCTCCTCTGAAAAAAATCAATTCTTGATTCCCTAACTACTTCTTGATAGTTTTATGAAGAACAAATGCACATGGTATGCAAATGTTTGTTGAAAATACTTAGAAAATATACAAAACGTAAGCTGCCCTTACCACTCCTTGGATTAATGAGCTCGGTTAACTCAGTGTGGCCTGATCAGATGAACATGGGCCTTCTTAGAAAGAGGTTATCATGATGTAGACTCCTGGCATTGACATTTGCTAGGTTCATGACCTAGGTAAGCTACTTAACTTTCTGAGCCTCACTTTCTTCATCTGTGGAATAGCCACTTTGACCTCACAGGACCATTGGGAGAATAATGTCTGTGAGAAATATGCTCCAATCCCCTGAGGGTGATTAATGTGGCAACCAAAAGAGACTCTTTGTAATTTAACCCACAGCCCTACGGCACATGACACTGTTGTTGCTTTTTCTATTTTTTCCACACAAAAGCAAAGTAAATTCTACCTTTGATTTACAATACCAACCTAAAGAGATTTTAGTATATTTCTCACCTGTGAGGTAGATAAATTACCCTCTGTCTTCTTAGTTGTCACCTTGACATTTCTCTCTTTCTCAAACCATTGCTTGTTAGCATATAGTAACAACATATGAGAGAACAATAAACACTTGTCATGATTGGAAGTGGGGATTGGAAAATTAAAAGGAATGTAATCACAGATTCAAACTGTTGTTTTGTGTGAACACCTTAGGTGGCTGCGATAGGTACAGGTAGATAAATAGATTGTCAAGTGGAATGTAAGTGAACGAACAAATAAACCACCAACAACAAGAAAAACAGCAGCAGCAAACAATTCCTGCATCATGCAGCACAGCGATCTCATATTTCCCTCACTGAATATTTGACTTAGGCATCATCAGAATTAATTTACATTACTCCAGAGAGGATCAAAGAAGCTGAGTTGCATTACTTATGTGTCAGTTGCCCTCATTTGCTTTTTAAAATTAAAAGTGATCCCCGTCCCTGGAGGAACCTAAGTGATAACTGACTTAGGGCCTCAGAAAAGTCACTACTACATATAACCCCACATTAAAGTAACTTCACCATTTCCCAGCCCCTCTAGATATGAAATATGGCTGCAGTTTATGAAAATACTTTAGCTAATGCACAACATGAGAAACCCTTCCGTGATGGGAAAAGAAGTGATAGCTTAGTGTTTCTCAAAGGGGGCGCTACTGACATTTGGGTGGGAGGTTTTTGACGGAGGTGGGACAGTCTTTCATTTGTAGGACATACCAGCACAATGAAGGATGTTTAGCATTCGTGGCCACCATCACTAAATTCTAATACTGTTTTCAATGCCTTTAGGCAATCACAAAACATACCCCTCATTTCCAAATGTCCTCTAGGAAGTGTTACTGCCCTTGTTTGAGAAACACTGAGATAAAGCAAGGAAAGGCTGGACATTGAGAGCCAGTTTTTGGAATCAGAGGGATTTGGATTTGATTCTTGGCCATTTGAATTTATTAGCTCCATAATCCTAATTACTTAATCTCTCTGAGCCTCAGTTCTAGGCTCAAAGAGGTTTAGTTTAGCAGGTTGAGTTTTAACTTCTCTGAGCCTCCAAAATGGGGATAATAATGCTTTC
Organism: Homo sapiens; assembly: GCF_000001405.40. NCBI lineage: Eukaryota > Metazoa > Chordata > Mammalia > Primates > Hominidae > Homo > Homo sapiens. The sequence goes on along the minus strand of NC_000011.10, from coordinate 80,843,893 downwards.
TCAGAGGCTTTGTAAGTTAATACCAGTAAAGTCCTTATCACTATGCTTCATATAGAAGAAATGCTTGATAAAAGGGTAACTAGTACAGTCAATTGTGGTATTAATAGTGGTCCTGGAAGAAACAGGGCCGGTGGTAGTTGTGGTCTAGGTAAGAGAAGCAGTGGGTAAAGTGTGTGATGCTACCTGAATTTGAATTCCAGTGCCATTAGTTTCCTCGCTATGTCTTTGGGCCAAATTGTTAATACTCTCTATGATTTGGTTTTCTTATGTAAAATGGTGACAGTAATAGAGCATATCTCAATTTTTTGTTGTAAAAAATGAGTAAGTATAAATCCTATAAAGTGAATCAGGTTTAGAGATGCCTGAAAGTAGACTGGACACAAAAGGAGAGGAATGAATCATTTGACTTTCTGTTTCTCAATTTGTGAGCCACATTAGCTTCAATTATACTTTTTGTTCTGCTGGCTGCACAGTAAAGCAGTTAACTAGTCAATTTCTAAGGGAAGGTATGAAGATGCTATTGTTTTCTCTGGTGATTAGATCTGGCTCAGACTGTCTTCACTTGGAGGATAATTTAGTACTTAGATATACTCTAGGTTCTAGCCAAAGTAATTAGTTCTCAAAATACCAAATAGCTATGATTATAATGAGAACTTCTCTAAAATGTGGTCCAACAACATGAAGGCTACGGAGAGGTTATGTGTGAAATTCTAACGGGAAGGAATGAAGCTATTAATAGTTCACCTTCAACACACCTACAGATACTTATATTTTTACCGATAAAGAAATTATCAAAATGTAATATTAACCACCTCAGGTATTATAAAAGTATGTAAATCATGTTAATGAATGGTAATTGCTAATTTGGCCACCTGATTATAAAGAGTTGTATGTTGTATTTTGATTTTCTATCTAATCCTCAAATTTAAAAAGACAACTGGGAGTTGACTTTTCAAATGAGCATTTAGGTTATCTGATTATTTTATATTGAATTTGCAACACTTACTCATAAATGTTTTGTTTTGTTGATGATCACCATATCATGTTGCTTTGCAGAAAATATAATTGTTAACAGATAGAGATGTGGTGCCCTAGAAGGCAGAGAATTTTCTTTAACATCAAGTCAATATTTTCTCTCGTAGGAGAGGAAGTCAGTATTCTCTCTCTTTATGAAAATGACAGGAAAAGTCAATTGTGATATTAATAGTGGTCCTGGAAGAAATGGTGCTGGTGGTAGTTGTGGTACAGGTAAGATAAGCAGTGTGTAAAGTATTTGAGATGTTACCTCTGGTGTCATACTACCTGAATTTGAATGCCAGTGCCACTAATTTCCTAGCTATGTCTTTGGGCCAATTTTTTAATACTTTCTATGATTTGGTTTTCTTATGTAAAACCTCTTCAGATTCCATTCATTCCTCTCCAGATTCCATTCAACATTTGTTTATTGAGTGATAACCTAATCTAGGCTGTATATTAGAGCTATGGACATAGATGAAATTGTTTATATGTGGCTGGGTGCAGTGGTTCATGCCTGTAATCCCAGCACTTTGGGAGGTCAAGGTGGGTAGATCACCTGAGGTCAAAGTTTTGTAAGCAGCCTGGCCAACATGGTGAAACCCAGTCTCTACTAATAATACAAAAATTAGCCAGGCATGTTGGGGCATATCTGTAATCCCAGCTACTCAGGAGGCTGAGGCAGGAGAATCACTTGAACCCAGGAGGCCAGAGTTTGTAGTGAGCTGAGATCACGCCATTGCACCCAGCCTGGGTGACAAGAGCAAAACTCTGTCAAAAAAAAAAAAAAAAAAAAAAAAGAAAGGAAAGAAAAAGAAAGAAAGAAAGAAAGAAATTGTTTATATTCACAGACTGGTTTGAGTGAATTATATATTTCATAACTATACTACATTGGGATACGTGTACTAGAGAACAGAAACAGTTGCAGGGACAAGACATAGTCAGAAAAAGTAGAGATAGTAATGTTTTGGCATAAGTCCTGTAATAACACTCATAAGTAACTCACAGATATTATGAAATTCCAGAAATAAGATAAATCTTTCTAGCCTTACTTCCTATTACTTCCTGGTATGCATACTATGCTTGTTGTTTAGTAAGGGTATGGGTAAACATAGACTTTCAGGTTAAACAGACAGTGATGGTCCAATTCTACCTGCCCACCTGCTAGTTGTATGGCCTTGTTCAAGTTATTGTACTTAGGTACACTTTCCTTATATGAAAACAGAGAAGACATAATACTATGAAGTGTAATTGTGAAAATTAAATGAAGTGACTCTTAGAAAAGGGAATGGCAATAAAAAGTCAGAGATGAAAAAAAGTCAATGACCAAAAAATTATTAGCTGTAATTATTTATTTTATGACCTATAATTTTTTACCTTATATTTTATTATGAATACACTGCATTTTTCTACTTTTGTTGTTCATTATATTTTACTCATTTGAAATACACATACTTTCTTATTTCTACTCATTGAAATTCAAGGTCTTAAAATGTTACCTTTTAAATGCATTAATGTAATACAGTCACTTGTGCCTGTATTACTTTCTTTCCCTCTTCAATACGGTATCTATTGAGGACAAGGGTGCATCTTATTAGTCAACATAGTACCTCAATACAAATTAGTTGAAAAGTGAATCCTCAATTTGTTGAAATAAATTTAGTCACAGACAGATAGTCACTGAGTTTCATTCTTGCAAATTTTGTATAGTTGCTCCTCACTTAATGCTGAGGAAAGGTTCTTGAAAACTGAGGCTTTAAGTGAAATGACACATGAGGAAACCAACTTTACCCTAGGCTATGTAAAATAGATATAAACAAGACTTAAGTTCCTAAGGCATATTTCTGGTCACGAAAACATCACCAAACTTCTAAATAAAGATCCAAAATACTACTAATATTAAAATTATAATAAATGTGAGCTATGTATACATTTAAGAAAGATTAACACAAATAATTATCCAATTTTTGATAAATCAGTGAGTGATGGTGGTTGTAGTGGTGGGGGATTAAATGAAGGAATAAATGTTGCACAATTAATTTTTTTTTTTTAAATGCACTCTTGTTCTGTAGCCCAGGTTGGAGTGCAGTGGCATGATCTTAGCTCACTGCAACCTCTGTCTCCCTGACTCAAGTGACTCTCCTACCTCAGCCTCCCAAGTAGCTGGGATTACAGGCACCTGCCACCATGCCCAGCTAATTTTTGTATTTTTAGTAGAGACGGGATTTCACCATGTTGGTCAGGCTGGTCTCGAACTCCTGATCTCAGGCGATCCGCCTGCCTCAGCCTCCGAAAGTGCTGGGATTACAGGTGTGAGCCACCTCGCCTGACTGCACAATGAAAATTTTAAGGGGCACCTCCTATCACCACATGGCTTAAAATCAATCACAAATATGGAGGGCTCCCTGAGTGCTTTTGCGGCATATTGTTTATGTCATGTATTTGTATGATTATAGCATACTTTAAAAAGTTTTAAAATATTTTTTATTTGTTCAATCATTAATTTCCCACTCTGCTGATTGCAGCTCAGGGGCATGAGTGGCCAGCGCCTATCCTGGTATCTAAGGAAGCAAGGCAGGAACCAGCCCTGGACAGGACACTATTCCATTGCAGGGCCAGTCACACACACATGCACTCAGACTGGAACAATTGAGACACACTGTTTCACCTAACAGGCACGTCTTTGTGGAGGAAAACTAAGTACCCAGAGAAAACCCATGCAGACGTGAAGAAAACATGCAAACTCCACACAGACAGTGGCCTGGCTGGGAATCTATTTATTTTTTTTCCCCATCAATCTTATAACAAAAATACATTGAATGAAATGGTGTTATTTAAGGACTTGCATTTTCATGCATTATACATTGATACCCCCAAACTATTTTCCTATAACGACTTCAAACTATGTCAGTTTAGTAAGGACACTTCAATCTACCCAACAATGGTTTTACCTACAAGCCAGCAATTCAGTGTTATTTACGTTGACACTTCTGCTTGTAAGGCAATATCCATTTGTGAAATTATTTTAATATTTTGTTCACTTTGCTTTTATTATTTTATACAAATAGGTGGAAAAGGGAAAAATGAAATTGCAAAGACTGGGGAGAAGAGACATAGGTTTCATAAATTCAATAAAATTATGGAAAGTTGAAGATCATTAAGTTTGCCTCAACTTTAACCTCTTATCACGTCCTAAATGGCCTTAAGCTCAATAAACTGTGTGTTCAATTATAAAGGAAAAGAATAAAACTAAAATGAAAAATGTTAGAAAGATACCCTTTAACACATGCCCAAAAGATGAACTGTCATTAGGGATGTCATAGTAGGTTTCAGAAAACTAGGAATGGAACATCTAATAGAATCTGTACATCTTTTGTTTGGCTTGTGAATATTTATCATAATGTTAAAGTTGGAAATTGTCTAATGATTCAGTGCTTTGTATAAAACCACATATTGAGTTGATATAAATATTAAATTGCCAATATTAAAGGTATATAGATTACCTTGCATCCAAAAGTTTTTCTCCCCTGGACGATGTTATTTTTATGTTGTCACCTTTGCTGATATCATAAAAAAATTTGTAGAGTTAGGGAAATATTTAAATAAACCACTTTTCTCTTTTCCAAGTATATCTCAGTTACAGATAAAGAAACAAATAAGACCCAGAAACTTTTGATATAATGATCATTAAATTGAAGCTTTTAATATATAGTCATTAAATCTCTTGAATTTTATTTTAATCTATATGATTATCATCATTGAATTTATATCTTTGTATTTTTGCAACACTTTTTTTATTAATATGCACATCTTAATAAATGGTTTTAGACTGTCTTAGGAGAAAAGTTAAGTTTCCTTCATAGATTTTGCCATTCAAAAGCATACATTATTTAAATTTGTAAGATGCAATGTAGCTGTTTTATAGTGGAATAGTGCTTTACATACTTTAGTGTGAATATGAATCACCTGGGAATCTTGTGAAAGTGCAGATTCTAATTCAGTAGGTCTGAGGTGGAGCCTAAGATCCTGCATTTCCAATACATTCTCAGGTGATGTTGCTGCTGCTGATCCTCAACTGTACTTCAATAGCAATTGAATAGAATGCCGATTATACAGTAAAAAACTTCTGAATTCAAACAACACATATACAATTAACTAGCTATAAAAACTAGGCTAAGTCACACTCATCCACTTCTCTCCATCTCTATTTGCTATGACCCTAGTTCAAGCTGCCATCATTTCTCAGCTTCGGCATAACTTAATTGTTTTCTCTGCTTCTGACCTTGCCTCTCTCCAGTCCACTCTCCAAACCACAGCAAAAATTACCATTTTGAAAAATGCTAATAGTATTCTATCTCCTCTACCTATATCTCCCTTAACATCTTTTAATAACTGTCCTCACAGAGAAAGTATCGAATTATCAACAAGACCTATAAATCCAGAGGAACTCTTGCCTTCCTCTCTCACCTCATCCACCTCTACAAGCCAATCATTCATTAGGCTCCACCCATGTGGGATTTCCCTTTGTTGGCCTAAGTGTGATTTTGAGGCTAGCAGAAATGTATAACCCAGAAACTGGTGAGAAATGAAGATTCTCAGGTCCTACCCCAGAAACTTCCTCTCACTGGACAGGGGCTCTCCCATAAAGAGAGAGCTATCAGTTGTGTTTCTTCCTGATTCTCCAGCATTTAAAACAATGCTGCCATACTGTAGTTTCTTCATTTAAATATTTGTATGAATGAGAGAATAAGTCATTATAACCTCTATATTATTCATTTCTTCAGCTGTAAAATGGACAAAATATTATCTCCTTCTGAGATTACTTTGGATTTATTAGAGTATATGAAAGTAGAGAGAAGAATGCTTAAAGATATCCAATTTTTAAAATATTTTTATGTAATCCTTTTTCCTAGACTACCTGCTTCTACTAAAACAATTACTCTTCACAGCTTTGTTTGTTAATTTAGTCACTCAAATATATAATTTTGGAGGCTTGCTAACACTATTGCTTCTTGAAATATTTTTCCCTAGATCTAGAACTCTAGCTGGTACACCTTCTAATCCATAAAACCTTTCCTGATTGCATCTGACAGTTATCTTCCAGTTCTTGGTGTAATTTACACTTTCCTCTTTTTAAAGCAGTTAAAACATTTAAAGATAATAAGTCCTTATCTTAGTTCAAAAGTATGATATATTCATTATAGAAAAATACCAGAAATTACTGATGAGTAAAAACAAAGACCTTAGTCCCTACTGCCATCATGAACTTTCATGATTATGTAACCTCTGAAGCTCTTCCAAATCCTTTAAATTGCAAACGTTGCTGTAGTTTGGATAAACGTACCTGGCAGTTATAAATTATGTAGGTAAGAATGTTTGATCACATTAATCAGTTGATACTGTGTCCTATTAACATGAATTCTCCTAACACTTTATAATAGAGTATATTTAATTAAATGCATTCTGCAAGTATTTTTGTTTTAAAGAAATAATAAGACAATACAAGTGATTTGGATATAAAATTACATTGCAATTAGGTAACACAGTAGGGCCTCTGTTCTGTAAGAAAATTTGATCTGCAGTAGATTTCCTGTGTATTCTCTGAGCTACTTTCAGCTCTGCTCCCAAGGGAACTTTGAGATGCACACAGTTACTTCCTTTTGCTATTGTAAAACCAATTAAATTAATTTGTTGGAAACTTCATTGTCTACCAGCTACACTGCGCTAGATTAGATTCTCTCTGAATCTTTCTGAGTTTCACTGTGCAATGTGTATAGCACTTTGAATTTTAGTGGCAAGAACTGTAGTTTTTCTTTGCTTGTATAAAAAATAGATACTGAGGCCCAGCCTCAGTGGCTCACGCCTGTAATCCCAGCACTTTGGGAGGCAGAGGCAGGCGGATCATGAGGTCAAGAGATCAAGACCATCCTGGCCAACATGGTGAAACCCCGTCTCTACTAAAAATACAAAAATTAGCTGCGTGTGGTGGCATGGCCTGTGGTCCTAGCTACTCCGGGAGGCCAAGGCAGGAGAATTGTTTGAACCTGGGAGGCAGAGGTTGCAGTGAGCCGAGATCACACCACTGCACTCCAGCCTGGTGACAGAGGGAGACTCCGTCAAAAACAAAAACAAAAACAAAAACAAAAAACAAAAAACGGATAGTGCGTACTCCTAAGAAACAGAGCTTTCTCAGAAGAAGCCTGCACTTACTTTGGGAGACTGTGGCATGTATTTTCTGTCACTTTAGTATCATTTAGGATAGGAAGAAATTGAAAGAATATAGATTTTTTTTTTTTGGTGATGTGCACGTTTCTGAATTTCAAGATTTTTTTTCTGTGTCCTTCAGGGAGAATAAATTTCTATATAGTGTCAAGATGCTACATAATGGGATAAAGAATTATAGTTAAGTGGGTGAATCTCATTGTGCTTTTTGTACTGTGTAGCATAATACCAAATTCCTCTATTCACTAAATAAACATTGTGTGAATACTGTCCTAAAACAGCCTGTTGAAGGATACAAAAGGATATCTAGAAAAAGCAGTTGAGGATTGGTTTGGATTGTTTCAAGTGATACCAAAATATTTATTTTGAGGTAAATAGCCACAGTAGTATAGAGCCAAGAGGTAAGCACAGATCAAACATATTTAAGGGCTATCTAAAAATAATAAGGAATTTGGACATTTTTCTGTAGGCAACAGAGCAGGCTTTTCACTTAGGATGCTGTCATTGAAGAATTTGGCCATGATCAAAGTAGCCCTTTATGTAGTTAAATGGGGGTCTCTTTAGGCTTCATAGATTTTGCATGTTTGGGTTTCTATTTAGTTTGTTTTCTCTGATGGACAAAGGCAGGGGACCAGATTCTGTATTATCCTGGAAGGACTGTGGGAATGTGTCAAAGGAGAACCGAATTTGAACACTGACCTTGTCATTAACTAGCTGCATGGCTTGAGCCATATCACCTGTCAGGATTTCAGCTTCCCTATTTGCAAAATGGGAGGTAGAAGGCTGTTGGAATAGGTAATGTTAAAGCTTCTTAGAATGGTCACCTTTTATGATTTTTGTGACAATCATGGACAACTCTCGCCTTTTGTCTTTTAGAAGATAATCCAGACTGATATTCATCCCAGGAAATTTAAAACCCAAAATATAGTTAAACAGGACTCTGAAATACATTTTCACTTAAAAACAAAGCACCAGGAAAAAATGAGCTGCTACTACAAGTTAAGTGACTTTGGAATTTGGACAACATTGAGGGTTACTGCCCTAATTTTTAAAGTTTTTTAATGCTATTTAAAATTAAACAAATCAATGCCTGTTTAACATTTCTAATAGTTCTTCATACGTACTAAGAGCCCAATTTAATTATATTCCCAATAGAGTTGTTAAATTATGAATAAGCACAATTTAGTTTGTAAACTACATAACGCAGTGCTTGGGAACATACTGTATCCTCGAAACTGCTAGTTTCAATTCACTTATAGGCCCTTCTAAGTTGAGAGTATCAGTGCTACTCGGCTATGCTTTTTGGATGCCTTCCTGTAGGAACTGAACCTTTTGTGCACCACAAGTGGCTGGGCCTCAGTTATGGGCAGATGAGTGAGTCTGAAGGTTGCAGGTTATGTTAAGCATAGTGGGGGGCAGGGTTAGAGGGTTGTGAGGGGAAGAGCTCTATAGAGGAAGACAGAAATGGCAAAATGTACTTGATAGCCTCAATTTGTTCTTACACACATCTCTCTGGTTCATAAATGAGGACAGAGACATTAATCTTAAAGTATACACGTGGAAGTGCTTCTTTTAATGATTTTCCAGTTAGTGTGCAATGTTCTCATCTGGTGCATAAGTAGATTTTATTGCAAAGGCCAGAGCCCCTGCTGGACATGGATGAAACCTCAACATACACAAGGAAAGATGGAAACTCTCTTGGTGGAGAAAAACAAAAAAAAATACTTTAAGAATAGGAAAAATAGGCCAGGCGCAGTGGCTCACGCCTATAATCCCAGCACTTTGGGAGGTGGAAGCTTGAGCCCAGGAGTTAGAGACCAGCTCGGACAACGTGGCAAAACTCTGTCTCTACAAAAAAATACAAAAATTGGCTGGGTGTGGTGGCATGCGCCTGTAGTCCCAGCTACTTGAGAAGCTGAGGTGGGAGGATCACTTGAGCCCCAGGGGTGGAGGCTGCAATGAACTGTGATTGCGCCACAGCATTCCAGCCTGGGCGATGGAGTGAGACCTCACGTAAAAAAAAAAAAAAAAAAAAAAAAGGAAAAATAAATTTCAACATCTGATAATAAAATTTTGCTTTTTAGCCAATGTAGGTTAACATTTAAGAGTTTGGGAAATAATATGACTAAAATGTGCTGGCCAAAATCTTTGATAAATTAGATTCATATTATTGGCTTTGCTTTCACTTAAGGTGGAGTACGAATTCTGGCTCTCCTGTCCCTCACTAACTCTACCATCTGAAGAAAACTGATTAATATCCCTGAATGTCACCTTCCCCATTTGTGAAATGAAGATATAAAAGCCTACTTGCAGAGTCACGCTGAGGATTAAATGAGATAACAACTATGCCCTTGCCTAACACCGTACCTGTTGTTAAGTTGGTAATAAATTAATTTCAATCACTATAATGTTATAACCTCTGTTCCTTGGACAATTCCATTTCACTCTTCATTTCTTGATTTTTCCATGTCTAAAGTGAGCTTTTAGGCTAGAGTATTTCTTATATGTATTACTCTCACATTCTACTCTTTATGTCTTCCTGTAATGCTATTTCAAGAGATGCTACCAGTGTTCTTACTTGAAAAAAAATATGGAATTGTAGAAATTTCAGATACCCTCTCAGTAAATGGAAAAGATCTGAGGGCCAGTATGGCAGTGACAAGGAGTTTTTAACCTTATGTAATTGTCGCATTTGTCTATAACCCAAGCTACTCTCTCCTTCAGGAGATCCCGAGGCCAGAACAGAGAGTAAAGAATTATAGACATACCAGTTTCTTTTTACAGAAAAATCATGAACCATTTTGCAGATATTCCCATATGCTTGGTGTGGGGATGGTGGATAATTCTAACATCTGTCAGTCACTTCCTGTTCTAAGCCCCTTGTTCATTACTGGGACCCAGACATGGGGAAAAGTGCAGCTTCTGTAGTTTGAATTTTACTGCCTTTTCCTGGCCACACGTTTTATTTTTTACCTTTGCTTTACTGCTTCCTGCAAGGACATTCCCCAATTGAGTCAGGTCTCTGCCCTTCTACAGTGGATACTGACATTTAACTATCTGAAATAATATTAATGGGTCTCACAAGCCATTAGTTTCCCAATTCATTAATATAAAATGCTCTCAGGCTACAAACCATGATGCTAACTGGCATCTACCAAGCAAGTCACCCTGCTTCATAACACGGGTAGGCTTTTTTTTTGCAGCCATATTCACCAGATTTCATCTGGTGATCAATGCTTGAAAATTTTATTATTTACCTCCATAGCAAGCTTGTGAGTACTTTGATGATGTATATGAAAACCCTATGTCTTTTTCAGCTTTATTTCTGCTATGATTGACACAGAAGATTTTTTTGCTAAGAACTATGATGGGCCCTTGTGGTGGAATAGATTTATAAGACATGGGGTCTGTCTTCCATTGAATCACAGTCTAGCTATGGAGAAAGGTAGGTAATCTGAAAAACAAATACTATGATAAACACATTAGTAAAGTACTAGCATTGAGTATAGTGCTCAGAGCTTATAGTAGTGTCTCAAAATAAGTATAACAAGCCAAACTGAGCTCCTGAGCAACACGTAAATGGAGTAAGTCAGTTTTTCCAGGAAAGGGTAAGGAGTACTACATAAAAGAGGTAATACTTGACATGTACTCTGAAAAAGAAGTTTGGGACGTTCAAGTTTGTTGAAGTTTGTGCTTTTTCATACTACTTAAGTAACTCTATGGAAACATGGTTAAGGACATTGTGGCTTAAACCGTGGCCCCTTGTGGTGGAATAGATTAATTATTTCCCCTTTGAAATAATATATTATTCTTTCCCACTTGCTTCCAATGAGACTAGAAGATAGCAGAAGAAAAATGTAGGCAAGAGCTAGATCGCAGAGAACTTTGTACATCATGTTAAACATTGAGAAGTTACACATTTACTCTTGTCTAGCCTGTTGCTTTTGCTGTTAATTTTTTATCCTAAGTTTGACTTTGTTATCAAATATTCAAGCTATGTTCCTATCTACTAAAGATGTTCACGTCAAACAAACAAAAAAATTATAGAAGTTTCCCCATTATAAATCTATAGTCTCTGGAGTAGGTAATCTTCACTGGAATGTCAGAGAAATAAAGCCAGGGTCACATCACAGGGACCTAAAACGCCGTGTCTCCCTGTTTCCCCCCGGTAGTTCCATGCCAAAAATGGACTTTCATACCAAAAATATAGAGGCAGTCTGCTATGGTAAGACTGCTTATGTTCCCCCCAAATCCACATGTTGAAACTTCGTCCCCAGTATGATAGTATTAAGACATGTGGTTTTTGGGGAGGTGATTAAGTCATGAGGACAGAGTCCTCATGAATGTTATTAGTGCCATTAGACAAGAGTCCCTAGGGAGCTTGTTTGACCCTTCCACCAAGTGAGGACAGAAACAGGTGCTTGTCTATGAGGAATGGTCCCTTGCCAGATTCCAAATCTCCCTTTACCTTGCTCTTGGACTTCCCAGCTTCCAGAACTATAAGAAATAAATTTCTGTTGTTCAGAAGCTACCCAGTCTATGGCATTTTTTATAGCAACTGGAACAGTCTAAGACACAGTTCTTTACATTTAACCAAAGTCCTGTGTGAGCTCTTCTAGAAAACTAAAATATCAAAGAGAATTATGCCTATCAATAATTCAGATCTTGATGTAGATCATATAGGCATAATTTATAGGAAATATCACCAACTCTATAGGAAAGAAGTCCAAATAAAGAGCACTGAGTTAAAACCAGACTGATATCTAAAATTGAAAGTTAAACTATAGATGCCTGCAACCTGAAAAAGAGGGAAAAACTTGAGTTTTAGGACAAAATATTTCCTTAATAACTGAATTCTGCCACATATTGTGTGAACTTAGGTGAGTCATGTAATCCAACCTGACCAATGAAATGGGATCATACTGCTATTGGTTTTATTGCCCTGACAGTTCTCTTTGTGATGACAACCCGGTGTCATATTTTTATATAAAAACCCTTGTAAAATCTAAAATGCTATTTAAATGCATTGTTTAATTTTTAGCTATGTGTTCTCTATGACACTTAAAATATGAGTCAGTCCATAAAAATTTAATAGACAAGCTATTTTTCAAAGCACCTTTGTTGTGTGAAGTGAGGTGCTAGCATATTGAGCTAGATAGTGTTGCACAGCTGTGAGTTCTTTGAATCACATGTGATTTTTACCTGCTGTGGGTTTATAGTGCACTGGAATTTTCAAGTACAGCCCTTTTGTTTACATTTCATAAGTAATATTATATTCTGTCTTGATATTGAGGAATTGCCACAGCTCTAACAATTCTGATTAAGTATCCTTGCAAATCAACTGCAAAAGAACCCAAACTTATTTTCCCATTTGCTACCCGAGCAAAAGGAGGAAAAAGTGGCCCATTTACTCCTGGAATAATACTATATTCCCCCCAACTCACAGATGAATAGATCTATAATGAAGTGCAATTTTCCTCAGAAAATAAACACCAGTGAGTGGAAAATTGAGGTTACAGCATGTGCATTGCAAAGTAATAGTCACTTAAGCATTGAATCCAGCCAAAGGACAATTGGAAAAGATGAAGGACATTCAAATAAGAAGTAGAAACCTGGCAAAGGTTAAAGGGGGTCCAGTGGAAGCTTTAGAAAACAGGGATTGCAAGTGTAACAATGAAATGATTCAGTTCTGCAAGACAGAAGGGGTTGAGAGGGCAAGATACATCTTGGTTCGCGGTCTAGACAACAGTTATGTACATGCTATGGTCCAATGGGTGACCTCACAGGAGTAAAATAAAAAATAAGAAAAGAAAATTAATTCATGGAAATAGACAAGATTAATAACTCAGCACAAGACACACAAGATCAAAATAAACTCGGTCTCCAACCATACCTATTTAGGGAATTTCATTGTTCTGAAAACACCTAATTCCACATAGACCATTTATTTATGCAACCAACATTTATTAAGTGGTCACCATGTGCCAGGCATAGAAATTCACCAGGGAGAGCAGTGAAGAAAATAGATGTAATATCTTTGCTTGCGCATCTTCAAACTAATGATTTTCACCTGCTTTCAATGAAATACACGGCACTTTGTTACTGAGATTACTGGTAGATTGAACCACAATAAGCTGTTGTTTTGTAGGTCAAATGCATTTAGGTATTGGCAATTTAAAAAGGTTCAGCCTAATATTATCCTTTGTATAAGTTGTAGAAGTCTTTTAATAAATGTTCTTTGCCCTAAGAATATATTTTTATTACCTCTAACTAGCAGTTTCTTCTCACTTGATTTAAAAGGTCTCTACCTTTGCTATTGCCCTAAAACTCACTTAACATTTCCAAATTAAATATTGTTTCATGTTATATAGGATGCAACTGTGGTCACCCTACTGTACCAAGGGATAAATATGATGCAGTACAGCTTTCTTAGAATTAATCACTGTATTGAGACTCCTTATGTCAGACACAGTTTATTGAAATCAGGTACCGTCAATTCAGAGTGGTATCCCTATTCTTATGCAGTTTTACTTTGTGAGAAAACCTTTTACTGAGATTTTTAAAGTTATATTCTGGAGTCATTCCATTCTTCCTTTGTCTAAGACCAAGACCTCCACTCTCAGTCTTTGGGATGTAGATCTTATCTACTCCATTGACCAAGATTGGGTTGTCAACTTCCCCCATCATCAGCAGGATATTTGTCTAAAATTTCGGAGTGTGGTCCCAGACCAACAGCATCAGTCCTACTGGGATATTTCTGAGAAATATACACACCCAGGCTTCGTCCCAGACCTTCTAAATAAGACACTCTGGAAGTGCAGCCCGGACATCCTGTTTAACAAGCCCTCCAACTGATTCTGATGCTGCTAACGTTTAAGAGCCACTGATCTCAAGGAGTAGTTCTCAGTCTCCTCAGATCTTAAGCATAGACTGTGGGTATGGGAAACAATTATTTTTGCCTTGACTGTTTCAACTACCTGGGAGAGAAAGGCAGAAATGCTGACTCTAAGGGTGGAAGATGTAGGAAGGACCTAGCAGTGGCCTTAACCTTGGATGGAAGTCAGGTAGGATTGAACAGTTGAGTACTGCCTGAAAGATCTGGGGATGGGGAATGTGGAAAACCATCCTGTCTGTGAGAACCAAGTGATGTGGAAAGGTTGTATGGGTGCAGCCCTGGGCGAGGGAATGTTTTTTCTCCAGTTAATCAAAAAATCTTGGGGTTGCTGAGGTAGAGGAGGTTTTTCTTTGTAAAATGACACCATTAGGTCAGAAGAGACACTGACGACAACTCATTTGGTTTTCCTCTTTCTGAATTTTGTGTTCTTCCCTAGAGATGTTTGGTAGATAACTAACAGTGTGAAGGTCAACATACTACAAATAATCAAGCCTATTTGTGTATAGTAATTATATTTATATTTCTGCTGCAAACAAAGATTTTAGATATTATTTCACCAGGGAATATCTCTCTCCTTAAAATAGTCTATTCTACTGTCATGTATGTGAGGCATTATGTGCCAATTTGTTCTTTTCCAATATCTGGGTTGCTAATTATTTTTTTCTCTGAATGCATTGGGCAGGTGGAGGGACCTTTGGATTACATGGGGTTAGAGTCTGGAGGAAACCTTCTGTACTAAGAAAAGTTAGATTCTACAGGAGAGAAGAGAAGCAGGCAGCTCTAGTTTAGAGTTAGGTTGAGGTTCTGAGAATGGGAAGCTCCTTAGCCACTAGTATAAAATCATCCGTGTTAACCATGCTTGTTATTTAACTATCTGTAAGTGGGAAACCAGGATTCCTGAACATTCCTCATCTCAGTCTTTGAATGAAGTCAGTGGTTTGGGCTGGGATTGGGAGGGGGGAGAGAACAAATGAATGTGCATAAAATGTAATTTTTTGGCCATTTGTATAGTATCTAGTAAATTACCTCTTCTAGTTCAGTAGACTAGAAGAATCCATGTCTTTCCCCAATGTGAATTATTTACTTCTCTCTCAAGACTAGTTTGTTTAATATGAATAAAGTAATCTTTTCTATTTACTTTAAATCCTTTACTTTAACCTTATAAAAAGCCTTAGCTCAGGGAACTCTTTTCAGTCTGTCTGGGGCTGACAGAACTGAGGAGGAAGAAAAGATTCTTTAAACGTTCCTCATTTGTTTTTGTTTTTCTTTTTTTCCTTTTCAAAAGCACAAGTTTCGCAGCTTGCAAAAATTAAGCAGCCTAAAATATTTGATGCCTTATTTTGAAATGTCAGAGCTTAAACAAACCTTTCCTAAACTAACAACAGGTTTTTACTGTAGACAAATTCATAAGAGTTTCTATTACTTTTCACTCTTTTTAGTGAAGCTACATCTTCTAACCACCACCTAATTTCACATAGTTTGTGGTGTTTACCCTAGGGATGCTAAACTCCAGAGAATGGGATGGTATCAACGGTCAGGATAAATGTTTACAGGGAACTTTAAAATGATTGTTGCCAAATAGCTTCAGCCTTCCTAAGTGTCCTGAGGGGAGTATTTTACATTTAGATAGGCCTGGGTGCCTTAAGCAGAACCAGTTACCACTGAATCAAGATAATTTTCAGTAGTAAGCAAGCTTGGCTTTGTAGACTTATGTAGATGAAACAAATGAAATACGTTGGCACTGATGGCAATATTGAGCTCTCAATTTTCTCTGTGCTGTGTTGTGTTTTTATTGTCCTCATTAAACACATTATTTGTAGACAGCTTTTATATTTATATTTGCCAGGGCCTACAAATTGGCATTTATACATGCAAGAGGCTTGACAGGCGTTTATTAGGGTGTTTTCCTATCTATCACTGTTAACACTGATGTCTGAGCCCCTGTGTTTTAAGCGAGTATCCTGCAGAATTTGTGTGGATTCACTGGTACAATAGCTAATAATAATAGCTGCCCCAGGTACAAAACATGGGCCTCTGAATTTTTAGTGTATTATTTCTAATCCCCCTCCCAACAGCCCTGCAATTTAGGTGTTCTAATCTCCATTTTAGAATGAGGAAGCTGAGGCTGAGAAGTAACTTGCCCAACATCAAAAGCATGCAATCAGGGTAGAGAAAGAAGTGAGGATTTGAACATGGGTTGGTGTAATGGCAAATCCCTGCTTTTTAATTTGCATCACGAGTCTCAGGTATCAGTGAGATCAGTGTTCAGAGAGAAGGTGAACTTTCTCGAGGTCCACTCACATGTTGCTACTTGCCAGTCTTATTGATGTTACACTGTGGGCCCCATGAAAACAAGGGCGTTGTCTGTTTTGCCCTCAGTTTCCTCCCTGTTCTCAGCGCTATGGCTGAAATATATATAATAGACATTTTTTTTGGTTTATAGTGGACAGGGAGTATGCAGTAAACGTTTTTGAATGAGTGAATAAACAAATGAATAAATTGGTTTGCCATCTCTGTCAATCAAGAAGGTATAGGATTCAGCCTGGGCTGGATTTCTAATTCTACATTATGGCTTCTTAGCTAAATGAACTTGGAAAAGACACTCTACTAAATCTCGGTTACCTTATCTGCATAAAGGGAATGATTTAGAAGATCAATTGGAAGATGAATGTAAAAACATTTAGTAAATTCAATGTAAACATTAATTGCTTTAGCTGTGATTTAATTTGCAAAGCCCTGGAAAATGATTTCTTATCTAGATCTTAGATTAAATCCTCCCATCTGCTTTTTGGTACCTAAAATGTGGCAATGATTTTCAAATATTTTTGGCTTTTTATCTTGCCCCACTCTAAGAAATATGTTTTTTTGTCAAAACCAGTCCACACATCATAAATGAAATTGCGACTAAAATTCAAAGAAAATTGTTGTGAAACAATATCTAAACCTATTTATTATGCATGTTTTTATGTTCTCTATTCAGTTCTGTTTTTTCTATTCAAATAAAATGCTGTTTATGACCCAGTAAATTGCATTTAAGATCCACATTTTATTTGAAACCCATACTTTGAAAATACTGCTCTAGGGGAAAGGATCACTGACTTGAACTCTTTCATGTTGTATTATAGTAAGACTATCTGAGTTAAAAGATGGTGTCAGGGTCTAAAAGAGAGGCAGGAGTAGGTGTTTATGCATGTGATTGGGCAGTAACATTGATGAAGAAACAAAGAATTACACACTGACTCTATCTATCCGTCTGTCCTTCCATCTGCCTATCTATCTTCATTTATCTAAACCTACTCACCTACCTGCCTACTACTTACCTAACTCTATAAATAAATAAATGAGTACAATACTCACATATGTTTTGTTAAGATCTCTCTCAGAATGCTTTTTATGATTTCCCTGCAGTCAGTGACCATACAGGCTTCTGGTGAGATGAAAAGTTCACCTGTTAATGTATAAATGCTGATAGTGACAGATAACAGGTGAATAATGACAATCTGTAAGATTTTTTGCAGTTTTAAAAAATTTAGTTCACAATTTTCTAGAATTTGTTACATGAAACATGCACTGCTTATTTAAAACTTATAGAATGCAATAAACTATATAGAATATTATCTTATTTATAGTTAAAAGCCTTATAAATATCGTGAGTTTATTTCTTAAGCAAACATACAAAACTGTGAAGATATATAAATATAACTTACCTGTGTATAAAAACTCTTAGTAAACATGGAAGAGATACATTATAGGAAAGTACCACAATTTGTTTAGGCAGCCTTTTATTGATGGACATTAATAAATATTTCTGCAACAAACAACTTTATATAGCAGTCATTTGGTGTATATTCAAGTAATATATATAATACATATTTTGCCAAACATTGTAAAATTGTGTTCTATAGATGTGCGGATTTTATCCTAGCCAATAATATGAATACCTCTTTCCCTATATGCTCCTCAACACTGTGAATTACCCAACTTTTCTGTCTTTGGAATTGAGTGGGTTAAAGGTGGCATACTAGTTTAATTTAATTTAATTTATTTTTATTTTTTTGGAATGAAACTGAACATATTTTCATGTGTGTGAGAGTCATTTGCCTTTGCTTTTATGTGAACTGTCTGCTTACTTTCCTTTTCCTATTATTCTCCTAGATATTGGATTTTTTATTTATTTATCTTTTAAAAACTTTAAGCTTTATTGAAGCCAATTTTCTATCTTTTCATGTGATGAGTTGAAAATATTTTTCTGTTCATTTATTCATTTTGCTTATGGTGCTTTTTGTCATCCAGTTATGTAGACGATTTAAACATTGTTTTAATGGCTTCTGGGTCTCGGATTATATTTATAAATGCCTTTTCCAATCTGATGTTATTTTTAAACACCCCAAGCTTTCTATCAATAAGTTTATGATTTTATTTTCCAAAAATACTTAAAATGTTTGCATCATTTAGATTTGTCCTACTACTATGAGTAAGGTATAAACTGAACCAATTTTTCCCCAACTGGCCATCAGGTTTATATAGAATTTTTCACTGAATAGTTCATATTTTCGTTACTTATTTGTAATGCCATCTTTATTAGACAGAAGACTCCAATACATATTTGAGTCTATTTTTGGACTGTCTAATGTGAGACACTGACTCTCTATTTGCCATTATCATACTTCTTTATTGGAGCTATTTTTTAAGTTTTTAAATGATTATTGCTTGTTTTTTAATATAAAATTTATAATCAACTGTTTACTTTCAACCCGAGGGAAAGTTGGGTTTGTACTGTATTTGTACCATGATAAATTGGTAGAGTACCTTAGGGAGTGCAGGCATTGCTATGAAGTTGAATCCTCCTATTCAAACACTCAGTATGACTTTTTGTTTCTTCAAATCGTCTTTGGGTACTGCAGGAACATTTAAAATTTATCTTTGTATAAATCTTGACATTTCTTGTTAGATGTGTTATTAAGTATTTTATCTACTTAATTGCTGTTCTGAATGAATTTCTTTTCTTTTTTTATGTCCTTTAAGTGGATTTGGTTTGCATATATAAAAACTGTTATTTTATGTATTAATATTTTGTGCTCAGGCCCTCACAAAATTCTTTCATTAGTGCTAATAGTTTTTACAATCACTTCCTTGAGTTTCCACGTTTATAATCATATTTATTAGATCCTTCTAAATTTTATACAACTCATTTCTATTCTCTAAATTGTTGGCTGCTATTTCCAAAAAGGATTAATACTAATTGTGATTATAGATATCACAATATACATTAATCTTCTTCTTTTAAGTATGATGTTGACTTTGATTTTGAGATAGATATGCTTTATAATGTTAGTGAAATATATATATTTGATATTTATTTTTAATCAAAAAATTCAAATGGCTTATAAGCATTCAGAGAAATGCTTATATAATTTGTCTCCTAGTTTATTAATATGATAAATTATAAAAATATATTTTTAATATTGATGAATATCTATGTTCCTGGAATAACATTTCTTGTTTATGGGAGAGCTATATATATATTTTTTTAAACCAGTAACTATTAGGGTTGGTATCATATGTATGCTTACTTCATTAAAATAATATAGGACTTTTTTTCTGTTTCTCTACTTTAAGTTTTTTTAAATGATATTGGGATGAATTTTTAAGGTATTAAGCCTTTTGCTCAATACTGGCATTTTTTTCCCAAATGTCAAGGAGTCCTTTCTGACTAGTCTGTGCCTATATGGTTGGATATTTTTATGATTACCCCAACCACCATCACCTCAAAACTATACTGAAAAAAGAGCTTTGGACAGGAGCAGTAGTACAGGCCAGAGCCTGATAGTGTCAGTGTGGAATTTTCTGGTAGTACGGGCCGGAGCCTGATAGTGTCAGTGTGGAATTTTCTGGTAGTACAGGCCGGAGCCTGATAGTGTCAGTGTGGAATTTTCTGGTAGTACAGGCCGGAGCCTGATAGTGTCAGTGTGGAATTTTCTGGTGTGCAATCCCTCTGTTCCTCAGGGCGACACCCAACAAAATGACCATAGATCTCTTCAAGTTCCTTTTCTTCTGCTAAAATAATACCAATATAACATCAGTATAAGTTCCTCTGGAATTCCTTCAGGCTTTAAAGTTTTTGCCATGAAATGTCTAGGCTAAAATGGATTTTCTAAGATATCTTGTTTCGTGTAAGAACCTTGTATATATATTTGGATACAATTTTGGATTGTATCAAGAATTCTCTCCTATATGTCCTGAGTTAATGCCTTTAAAGCAATGAGCATAGTACTTGCCACAGGGTAAGTTCTCAATAAATATTATTATTGGTGTTATTATATCACTCAATTTTTACAAAACTCCCTGTGAAATAAAGTTGAGAAAGAGTTCTTACGCTCTCTTGCCTAAATCATACCTTTAGAATGTGGTGGCATTACATTGCCGACCCAAGTCTTTTCACTCTGAGACCAGTGCTTTTCCCACTAGATGTTCATAAATGGAGCACCATATACATGAATGAAGAAATAATGCCTTTATCATTATCGATTTAGTAATTGAAATTTAAATATCCATTGTTTTATAAATGTGGGCAATGAATTCAATAGTGCTAACGATTCCTCTCACTTTATCACCAATAGAAATAAAAATAATTTTGTATCATGTTAAAGATGCTGCATGTATATTGAGATAACCTTTATACTTACCACTATTTTGAAATTGTATTAGTTATCAGTCCTGCTCTTGAACTTATTATTTGAATTACCAATAAATATTTATAATTTACTTAAATATAATTTGTTCTTTGCAAGTATATAAATGTATTTTATATTATTTTGAGAAAGGTGTCCATGGGCTTTACCAGATGGCCAAAGTGGTTGACATTACAAAAAATGGTAAAGAACTCCTGATAAACAATTCTGTGATTGTATGACCCTCTTTTCCTATTCTGTATTTTTAACAATATTTCACAAGGGATACATCATTGAGGGATGAATGTTCCCAACATCTCATTCAAAGGAAATTTGAGACATCCACACCTGATAGTTTCTGGCACTGAATTCGCTGAATTCTTCAGCTGGCAGAGTAACCAGATGGATTTTAATTGCCCAGTGAAGGGATAATTTTCCCTAAGAAATCCCACATATGCCAGTACAGCCCTGTGAGCTTGTCACAAGGCATCCGCCTTTGCCAACCTTTTCAGCCGGCTCCAAACAGGGTGCTTTTCAAAGGAATCCTGTGACAACATAAAGCAAAATTTAGTAAATGTCTTTGCTTGATAGGGGAAAAGTGAAATAAATAGCCAGCGAGTGCTCTAGGGAGAAGCTGCAGACAATGCTCTGCCTGTCGCTGAGCACGCTTATCAGTGAACACACAGCCCTTCTGCAAAATGGATTGTGCTTGATCGAATCTGATGCCTCCCCCTGAGGAGATTGGCGAGAGTGTAGAGATGATCAGAGGTTGATGGATTGGGTTATATTCCGTCCTCCTTCAGATCACCAACATTTCCCTTCAATACAGTTCTTGTATTTTTACATTCCCCGCATTTGGAGTGATTTTTGATGTTCTCATAGTCAAAACCATGCTTTGCAGATAACTGTAGAATATGTGAAGACAAGAGTCATGATACATAGAAATGTTTATAAAAATGAAATCACATTGTTACCAAACAGGCAGGGACCAGTATCAGTCATCTTTTCTATCATCTAAGGCTTCATTCAACTGATTAGAATTGTCCATTTGTTTTTAAAAATGAACAGAATTATTATTGCTTAGGTTCTGCTTGGGCATTTATATTTACTAAGGTGTTTGTATCCCATACCTAATTTTGTATGAGAGGAAATGAGTCTCAGGTTAAATAACTTCACCAAAGTTACATAGCTATTACAAAACAGGGTTGTGCTTTCAACTCAGTCTATCCATTTCTAAGCTTTCGTCTTTCCATTATATGCCTTTACGGTTTTTAGAAAAGAGAAAAATATTTTTGATGAAATTTTGGAAGGCTTCTCGAACTACATGTTAAAGAGATGAGTCAAAGTTGTAATCGAAGCAAAGAAAATAAATTTAAAATAAAGAACAATTCTCCTAGAAGCATTTCTCAGCAATAACAATACAAAGCAAAGTTTCCCATTTTAACCTTAAAGCAAGTATTCTACTTTGCTTTAAGTTTCTGTTGATACCTCAATCAAATTAAATTGGTTTTTCCACATAGCAATTTGGAGAAATATCAGGCCCGTTGGGATCAAGTGAAAAACAGATGTGAAATAATATGCATTTTTCATGCGCCCCAAGGGTTGTGACATTTTCGATTTACTGACACTCTGGGGTAAGGAAAACATATCTATAAGCATGAAACCGAAGCTCCTAGTCTCACAACTTGGTTGCTAGAATAAGCTTGTTTAGGTAGTTGGAGAACTTCACTGAATATCTTGTTTAGAAATTTGCAAAGCTTGGTTCTTTTTATACAATCGATCATTTTTGACAGCCAGATATTTCCTTGCTTGGGGAACAGCTGGCTTTAAAAAATGCTGCAACATTAACTCACTTACTTACCCATACCTACCAGTATAAATAATGTTATGCTGTTAGAGAATCTGGCGTAACAAATCCTATTTCAGCTTTTACTCAAATATAGGTATTAATAAAATGAAATGATGCTATGATATCCAGATCATCTTTCCCATGTGCCTAGTGTAAGATTTATTTGGCCATTCCTTAAATTGTTAAAAATAACCCTTGGCTATATGACATAGGGATTCATGGACATTTTGAAGGTCAGAGGGAGGTTTTTATAAAGCTTGTAACAAATGATTAATCTTTCAGTTTTGTGTTTGTTGTGTTATGTGTTTTTGTATGTTTGCTTGTTTTAACCGAGTATTAAACACTATAGACACCTTTACCCCTTACAGACCTCTTGGGACCCCTTGTCCTTTGGGGACTCTCTGCAGTTAAGATATTAACTAAACGCTGGGGATTCAGCTGTAAGAAATGAAAAGCAAGGTGTTTGAGACAATTATGTATATATCCTTTCACTAGTTACACTGATGATAATGGAAATGATAATTCCACTCCATCTGGGCATCTAAAACTACCTGGGGAAGAAACTAAGCATCCCATGTCTCTTATCCACTAAAATAGCTCTATCATTTGCCTCTCAGCTGTCTTACTGAGCTGTCTCAAAGCTGTCAATTGCTCCACAACCTGTTGTATGAACTGGAGATTGTTCTTTTAAGTCACAAAGAATTAAACACCTACAATTTAATAATTTCTACCTATCACTTGTCTGCGCCAGGTAATATTAAAGGTCAGTACTTTAATTTTCACAATAATATTATTTAAAAAGTTATCAATTTTGTGACCATTCTGTGAAGAAAGAAACTGTTGGAGTCATATGACTTGTTCAAAAAGATTAACTTTAACTCCAAAGCTTTGTTGGCCGTTACGTTAAAATTAACAGATCCCTTTTCAAGAAATGCCTCTCAAACTTTGAAAAGCTTCCATGTTGGATCTGCTGTCCTTAGCCTGTAAGCCTCTTGAGAGCAGCCACAGAGTCCTCATAATCTCTGCATTCTAATCTCCTCCCACAGTACTGACCTGGGCTCTCAGCTGTAACCACTCCTGATTGTCAGTCTCACTTTGGATAGAGTAGCACTTTGGTCTCCCAAGTCCCAATTTCTACATCTGACCAATTTTCCAACTCATTTTTAAGGGAAAGTTCAAACTCAAAGATTTAGGAAATGTAAAAAGGCCTTCTTTGCCCTTCGTCTAGAACAGGGGTCAGCAAGTGTCTCCTGTAAAGGGCCAGATAATAAATACTTTAGGATTTGCCTGCCAGTTATGCTTTGGCTGTTGTTTGTATAACCCTTTAATCATGTAGAGCATAAGCCATACAAAAAAAAATGTGCCCTGGCTTGACAAATCCCAGTCTAGAATATAATATTCTTAAATGCATTTAAACCTAGTTGTTCAAGAATTTTAATTTGTTTATCTCCTTTAGCTCAAGTAAAACCAAAGCTTTTATAGCAAGGCCATGTTTATTGAAACTGTTCAAACAGGCCTACCAGTAATAACAACAACAATAATAACAAAGTTTTACTCTTTACTGATTATAAAGGAGATTTAAGCCATAACCCTAAGTGTCCCTTCCTATGTACTCTTGCAGTAAGCATCCTCTGGAGCTTCAACTGACATCTCTCCATCTGCACCCTCCACCACTAAAAGTCTGTCTTCTTTCAGCCAAAAAGGATCTCATAGCTTCTGCCTTTTTCCTTTCTGGATTCTTGTAGATTGGTGTCACATGTCACATAACATGTCACATAACAGTATTTTGGTCAAAGACAAACCACATAAGTGAAGGTGGTCCCATAAGACTACAATGGAGCTGAAAAATTTCTGTCACCTAGTGACATTTCAGCGGTCATAACCTTGTAGCATAGTTACTTTATTTTTTATAAATTTGGTGTAGCCTAAGTGTACAGTGTTTATAAAGTCTACAGTAGTGTATATAATGTCCTAGACCTTCACATTCACTCACCACTCACTCACTGACTCACTCAGTGCAACTTCTATTCCTGCAAGCTCCATTCATGGTAAGTGCCCTATACAGGTGTACCATTTGTTGTCTTCTGTGCCATATTTTTGCTGTACATACTTTATGTTTTAATATGTTTAAATGCACAAATACTTACCATGTGTTACAATTGCCCACAGTAACATGCTACGAATTTGCAGCCTAGGAGCAAGAAGCTATACCATATAGCCTAAGTATATAGTAGGCTATACCATCGAGGTTTGTGTAAGTACACTCTGACATTTGCAGAATGACAAAATCACCTAATGACATATTTTCAGAATGTATCCCCATTTTTAAGTGACACGACTGTAATAGTGTTCCCTAACTCTTTCTCCCCTCCTCTGCTTCTCAGATTCTGTCCTTTCAAGCCGATTGTATAGATCAGTCACGAAGACCTTAGGAACCAGTCGGAAAGAGAAAAGCTCTACTCAGGGTAGTGGGAAGGGCTAAATTATTGCTTGCTGTGTGTGTAGTCAGGCTGGAGGGTGAATGGGGCAGGAGACTGAGGACATGTGGTAAATATAGTAATGTTACTGAATGTTATTCTATCACTAAAGTAATTATAAAATTATATGTATTACAAATTATATATAATGTTATAATTGTTTTTATTATATATATTATATGTGTAATAAATTGTTTTGTCTCTTCCACCTTCCATAATCTCTCTCTCTCTCTCTCTCTCTCTCTCTCTCTATATATATATATATATATATATATATATATATATGAATATTATGGAAGGTGAGAGAGCCAAAAAAAAAAAAAAACTCAATAAAATCTTTCCCAGATAAAGAGGAGGTGGAATGGGGAAAGGAGATCTGGGAGATTAGGCAGATGGATGTTCTAGTCCTGGCTTGTCCATGAAATAGCCTATTTGTCTGTGTAGTCCTCTCCTGGACTTCAGTACCCCACCTGTAAAACAGTGATGTTGAACTAAAAGAACTCTAGTTTCTTCACAGTATTGTTATTCTATCAGAAAGAGAAGAAAAACAAGTTTCCTTGCCATTTAGTATATTGAAAATTCACTTCTCATTTTTGTTAAAGAGTTGTCTTAATTTTATCTGTAAAACTGTAGCAGCAAGTTGTTCAAAGTCTATAGACACACACAAACACACACACACGCAATTTTTTTCCTCAGCTCCTAAAAAAGTTTATGATTGTTAATAGAACAAGTTGTGATTGAAGGTGAGGGGTTTGCTATTATTGGAGCTGCTGAAGGCAAGCCTAGGCATGGCTATAATAGAGTCGATAGAATTATGTGAATGCACCTCTGGAGAGCTCCACGTAGGATGGGTGAGATGCCCTGAGCATGTTTGCCGGTCTGCCTTTCAGATCTAAGAGCAAGTTACAATCTTTCGGATGGGTGGTTATCTCTTCTTTAGTAGTTTGATTTGGAGATGGGATCAGCATGCTTTTATTATGTAGCTTCTGAAAATACTGGTCAAAACTAATTAAAAATATTTTTTTTAAATGAGACTGAATTCTCTTCATAGTTCATACCATATCCAATTATTTAAAGATGCAATTACTTAAATGCTTATTTAATAAATATATGTCAGTGCTTTCTCTCCTCAGAGTAACAAATATGAGGAAAACAGTCACTAGCCTATACAGGTCAAGAGAAATTTAGTCTATCTAGTTATGCTATCTCCACATTACAATTCCAGGTATATAGAAATAATCAGAAAAATATTTTGATGTTTTTTCCTTGAAGAGTTAAAACTTAAACTAATAATTATTAATAACCCTAATGCCACAAGTGACAGTGAAATAGGGGCAAAGGGAAAATTACATTCAGGATGTAGATAGTTCAGAGGAAGTGAGACTAATTCGATCTTGACAGACCATAATAATGAAAACTTCAAATGTAACGTGATGATCAGAATAAGACTTTGAACAATAGTTTTCCCAGTTGACAAGCAAAGATTGTTCTACACACATGAATGAGTGTGAGGCCAGTGAACAGGTTGCCTGATCGGATTTGGCACAGCAGGAACAGGACTTAAAGAGGAGCAGGACAAGGGCTGGTGACACAGGGAGGTGCCACGTCTTAGAAAGACTAACAGCCAGGGTAAGGAAGTGAAAGAGTTGTTTGTATGCATATCGAGCTAACAGAAGAAGTAGCTAGCTGTTAAATGGTTAAAGTTGGAAGCTTATATGCCCAACTTAGTAAGAGAGAGGGAATAAAATGTTTCTATGGGGAGAACAAATAGGTGCCTATAGGAAAGACAAAAGGGTTTTAGGAGAACAAGTTGAAGTTATGAAAGTTGGTGAAAATGTTTGTGTATGCAGATGCAGGTGGTCTTACCATGACCAAAAAAAAAAAATCCCCTTACAGGGAATTTATGACAAATTCATTCCTGATTTTCCTCTTGGAAGAGGACCTGCTCCAAAGAGGGAATTTATGGCTGCCTCATTTATTTTTGAGAAGTTCCTGTTTTTAGTCAGATAACAGAGCTCTAAGAATGTTTCTTCATGTATCTGATACATCTCAAATGTCTTCAGCTTAACATAGTCTTCATAACAACTCTTAACAACTCTGGGGTTCCACGTGGGTCACCACAGAAGCAAGTGACATGATCAAATTTTTCTACTAAAAAGATCCCACTGGCTATAGGGTGAGAGATAGACTGAAGTTAGAGCAGTAAGATTCAGATAAGTGAATTAGGCAATCCTGAAATAGCCCAAGTGAGATGTGATGAGGCCCTAAATTAGTACAATAACAGTGGGATTTCAAGCAGGAGTGAGAAATGAGATCATTGGAGTCAATAAAATTTCAGTTTCTAGAATTATTTTATAGGTTATATGTAAATGTGAGAAGTAAAAGAAAAAAGAAAGGGAAGTGCATAGGATCTTTATGACTTGTCAAAAGGTTTTCATAACCTTTATTTTGCTGTACAGAATTTAAGTGAACTCCACATGCTGAGGAGGTTTGAGGATGACAGAGTATGTTTTGAGTATTCTCTCAGGAACAGGAAACTATGAGAGATTTGAGAACAAGTAGGTATTGAAATTAGATCTGTATTTTCAAAAGAGAAACCTAAATAGCAACATTAAAATTGGAATGGAGGTGGAACATTGGAGGTAGGGTCACCAAGTGTTCATCAATTTAAACCCGGTGAATGTAAACTCATTAATACTTAATGTGAGTTAAAATTCAAGTTTGTGCTAGATAACTCATTACTTATTCAGTCATGACACATTTAAAGAACCACTAGACTAAAAACAGGAAGTCCCAGGGCTGACTATGCTGGGGAATTTCCTTCGATTCAATAGATAACCTAGTGCCTATCCACTGAGAATCAAGGACTGCTAGTGAAGCAAAACTGTTTCCTGGCAAATGCATACAGGATTGATGGACGAATTAGCAGCAAGTAAGGTAACTGTATGCTCATGGTAAAGGATATGTTAAAGTGGGAATAAGGAAAGGATATCAAACAAGGTCTGAAAAAACAGATTTGAACCTGTCTGCTGAATGTAAGGTGGGTTGATGACATTTCCTTCTCTAGAGCAATAAGAAAAATCAAACGAGGAAAATTTATTATGCCAATTACAACTACATTCATCTAGATCATTGATATGCATGTAAACATAGTGGAGTTAAAAAATAATCAGTGAACTGATGAAAAGTATTGCATCAATGAGGTAGTTAAGTTTATATCTTTCAGGAAAGATAAGAAAACCTTCGTGTTTGATAGCCATACTTTCTGTAAAACGTCAAGTTCTATTCTAGAACTCACAGTTTCTGTCCCAGTTACATAGTTCTACTATCCGGTCCATGGAAATTTATTATAATAGAGATATGTTACATCAAATTTAATACCAATTCTTTAGGGATAGGGCTAATTTGTTAGACATATGTGAGTCTCAAAGGCTTTCATTCCCTGAGTCTTTTATGTTGCAAACAAATGGGAAAATATGGTTTTAAAATTATTATTCACAATTGTAAAATAGTAGACATTCACAAAATACAACCCAAGAATTTAATCAGCATCAAGCTAGTCTATCTTTCCTAAAAGCACATTGGTAATTGGTAGGAAAAGAGTTTTAGAATGACTAAAACCACCTGCATTTCATCTAAAAAAGCTTCTCTGATTAACGTAAAAGAAGGTTCTGATTCATATAGCTGCCTCCCCATTAAAATGTAAATGTTTGGCATCCACCTACTCCTCAGTGTAAAATTAATCTCTTCAGTTCAAAACCTTGCTTTCTCAGATATAATTGCCTCCCTATGTCTCCTGGTGAACCATAAATACAGTGGCCTGCTCCAGGAGTACAAAAGAATAGTTTTTTACCTTGGGGATATAAAAGGCTGGGATTATCAAATGCTCATTTTTTGGAACACAAACACACACACACACACACAAAATGCTTCTGCTGCTAGAAACATTTAAAAGCCACTAAATTAGAATATTAGGGTATTTTTAAATTTATTCATTTATTTACTCATTGTTTCAACAAAAATCCTTGTCATATCTAATATGTACCAGATGTTGTACTTATATATGATACAATAAATTAAAATTATCCACTTTTCTGATTTAATCATTGACATCAAAGCCCACAACTATTATTGCTGCTATTACTGTTACCAGTACAAGTGGAAACACAGCCAACCTTCAGTATCCATGGGTTCTGCATCCATGCATTGAACCAACCACAGATCAAAAATATTTTTTTACAAATGCATCTGTGCTGAACATGCAGACCTTTTTCTTGTCATTATTCTATAAACAATATAGTATAACAAATATTTACAAAGGATTTACATTGTTTTAGATTTTGTAAGTAATCTAGAGATGATTTAATGTATATGAGAGGCTGTGCATAGATTATATGCAAGTGCTATGCCATGTTATCTCAGAAACTTGAGCGTCCATGGATTTTGGCATCCATAGGAGGTCCTGGAACAAATTCTCCATGGATACCGAAAGACAAACATACTATTACAACTACTACTGTACTATAGTACTACTAGTAGTATTATGCTAATTTCTTATCATTACATCACTTTATCCTTCGCAGTCCTATATACTGATGAATTATTGTTATTTTTTATTACAATTTATTTCTCCTTATATCACGGTCCTGAATGCTTTGAGTCAAAGGTGCTTTGGAAAAGCATCTTTCTCTGCTCAGACCATATGGCTTGGACCTCACTAGTTTTATCCTTTGACTGAAGGATAGATATCTGATTCAAGCATAGGAAATTATATCCAATGAGTAGCAAGTCTTGGGGATTTGGCATAAATAGGAAATAGGGACTCTTTTTAATTTGGGTTGCCAAACTGATGGAAGGTAAGCTCAGAACTGTTGATAGCCGTTGTTTGAAAATTCTGTCTGATAACAGAACCATGCAAAAGGAAAATACATTTGTAAGAAAAGAAAAAGAGAGGTAGAGATACAGATAGAGAAAGAAAGGGAATATATCAATCGTTTAAGTCCATGAAATACTTGCACCTTTCCACTGGCTGTTCCAATTACATACAGTAAAGTCATGTTTTTATTATATCAGTTTGTGTTTAGTCTCTATTATTTGCAACCAAAATAACTGTGGTAACTAAAAATGGAAATTTTCATTGGTATTTTACAAATAGTGAAAGTAAGCCTTGAAACAAAAAGCCATTTTTGGGTCACATATTTACTAAATTAAAAAGCCAGAATTCTAACCCGGTACTTCCTAACGCCAAACTGTGTGCATTAACACCTCAATTTAATGATTCACTTATTCATAAATTTGTTTCTTTATGTATGCCTTTATTTAATTTACCATATTGGGAAGATGGAAATGGGACTCCCAAGTATTGTCACATTTATGTTCTATACTGCAATGAAAGATGGGGAAAGAAAATATATGTTAATCAGTAAAAGAAATGAAAAAACATTTTGATTATGTCTTAACTTGAGTGTTACATTAAAAAAATGAATAAAACAACTCCCATAAGAAACTGTGACCTGAATCATATTTAGAGTTCGAATTTACACCGCTTCTGAAGTATTTGAATTATAAGCCAATAAAGCAAATGCAAGCTTTCCAGATTGGAAGTCTATGAGGGCAATTGGAAAAGCAAAAGCAAAATTTATCAAGAAGAAAATAATTTTATCTTTTTATTTCTACAGTTTTTTTTACAAATAAAACACAGATGTGAATATAAATTCACAGTAAAAGTTACAAAACACGTGAGGAAAGAAAGAGTCAGTATAAACAACAAAGAAAAGAAGAGATCACTAATCTGATAAACTGGGAAAACACTAGAATAGAAAATGCTAAAGTGATAATTGGGAAATATAACCTATAGATTGAAGAGAATTACACAGATTACAGTACAAAGAGTAAATATATAGAAACTTAGCAAGAATGTTTAAGAGACACGGAGAACAGAAGGAAAAGCTCCAACATATATATTTTCAGAGTTTCAGAAGTGGAGAATAGAATGAAAGAGGGAGAGGTAATAACACTCCAGTAATCAGTTGATTTTTAACACCTTCATAATAAAGCTAATAATAATTTTACAATGAACACTAACAAAATTGTAACGGAGGATAATTTTCAATACTGATCAAAGACACAATTTCTGACTTTGGGGAGGCCCAATAGATCACAATTAGAATATAAAGAAATATACAGCAGGGCATATCATAGACGAACTAAAATACACCAAACACACACAAAAAATCTGAAATGCAGTCAAGAGAAAAATTGAATTAATTAGGATAAAATGAGAGTCTTAAATTTGACTTTGCGTTAGCAATAATGGAAAAGAGAGATCTTCGAAGTGCTCCAAGAAACAAATGACTACCAGCTCGACTATTATTCAAGAATAAGGATTAAATTGAAATACAGGAAAACAGCATTTGCCACTTATAGCACTTTAATAAATGCATTTCTAAAGGATGTATTTTTGAGTAAAATTTAAAGAAAGTATTCCGAACGAATATTTCCAGAAAAAGAGATGAGATGCAAGTAGGCATGGTGAGCAAAAAGAAGGTAGATAAAAAATTAGTTAGTTGAAATGAATGTGCAAAATAATATTTTATTGGGTACTTAAAAGTTATAATCACCATATAGGAAATCAAGAATGGGTAAAATAATAGGTAGTAATAATTAAAGTCTTATAACATCTTTCAATTTTTCCAATTTTCCAAGGAGAAAAAAAAAGAGAAAGGATATCCAATAAAAAGATAAATATAATGTAGGAGGTGTAAATAGTAATATATGTCTATCGATAAGAAGAAGTGAGAACATGAGGTGTCTTGTGTTTAAGGAGTTATAAGCATTTTTCCAGGAAAGCAGGGAGCCAGTGAATCCTGCAACTATAACTCTATCTGCCTATACCACCTTGAGGTTATTTACAGGCAGTTCTTTCTGATTCATCCACGTCTCAACATGGACAACCCCTTGCTATGGTGATATATCTCAGTGCTGCAAGAGACTTAAAATGAAGCCAGTCTTAGAAATGCTGATCAAGAGTAGATTGATTGCCTCTTGAAGACAAAAGCAATCTTTGCTTTGACTCTTATTTTTGTAATTGCCCCATGTTCAGTAGATGTTAATGAATGAATGAATGATCTCACCTGTTTTCTAGAATCTTAAATATTTAATCTTTCTCAGTTAGTAAGAATTTCTAATAGATGCTGCCATAATTCTGAATATGTCCCCCAAAATTCATGCATTAGAAACTTGCTCTCCAGTGAGGCAGTGTTGGCAGGTGGGCCTGGTGGGAGGTGGTTAGGTCCTGAGGGCTCTGCCTTTATAAAAAGGGTTAGCAGGGGTGGATTCACTCTTCTGCTCTTCTGCTATGTGATGTCACAGCATTTGTCTGCCTTTTGTCCTTACACCTTAGGACAACTAAGGATAGAGCAGGAATGTCCTCACTAGATGCCATTGCCTTGATCTTCGACTTCCCAGTTTCTAAAATTGTGAGAAATACATTTCTATTGTTTACAAGTTACAGTCTCAGGTCTTTTGTTATAGCAGCACAGATGGACTAAGACAGTTTCATACCAGATTTTGTAACCATAACTGTTATAGATGTCATTTTATTACTAATGAGAGTAATATAATAGAAATAAATCAAATTAACCTTTATCAAACATTTACTATAACCAAGACACCATATTAAAGATACAGTATCTCTTTGAATCCTCCTATATGCTTTATATGTAATATATACTCATTAATCCTAATTTGTAGACGAGGAACTATAGGTCTTGAGAGATTAAATGCTTGCTAAAGTTTATACCAAAGGAGTAGTGAAGCAGAAATTCAAACTCAGGCATTTTGACTTCAGAATTTATTCATTATGCTATACTGTGCCTCAGGCCTTCCCAAACATATCGTTCAAGTTCATTGAAAGTCCATTTGGCTGTTTTTATGTTGACAAAGTAAAAAAGATTCATACAATCAAAGAGAAATGGCATTTTATTTGCATAGTCGATGAGAAAAACAACAACAGAAATCTAAGACCTGTTTGTTTAAAATGCACATATTCTGTTGTTTACTTTAGGTACGTTTGTGATTGTCATTAAAAGACTGCTTTCTTTTATTCTCAGCCTTCAAAACCTCTTTGAATATCACTCTTCACTAGGAGACAAAAGCACTTTAAAAATAACCTCACTATGAAAAATCAATAGCGGCATTTAATCATTTAATCACCAATTTTTTATTAGCACCCTCTTCTGTGTATGCAATTGTGTAGGCTATGGAATGCAATGATAAAGTTCCTGACCTGAAGGGTCATATTGATTAGTAGTGGAGCAAGAGGCAAGCAAGAAAGTATACTGTTTGGCACATAGTCACCATTTAATGAAATTTGTTGAATGATTGAATAAGGAAGAGGGTGTGAGATGGTGTGTGGGTTTCTTAGAGCTGCTGGATCAAAGTGCCACAAACTAGGTGGCTTAAAACAATAGAAAAGTACTTTCTTATGGTTCTGGAGGCTAGAATCATGAAATCTAGGTATAGCCAAGAACAGGATCCCTCCAAAGGCTCTAGGGAAGGATCATTTTTTGCCTCTTGCTAGCTTCTGACGGTTTCTGACTGTTCTTGTCATTTGTTAGCTTGTAGATGCCTCATTCCAATCTCTGCCTCCATCATCATCTAGCAATCTCCCTGTATGTCTGTCTGTGTTCAGATTTTCTTCATAAAGATACTCTTCGGACGGGTGCGGTGGCTCACGTCTGTAATCTCAGCACTTTGGGAGGCTAACACAGGTGGATCACCTGAGTCAGGACTTCTAGACCAGCCTGGCTAACATGGTGAAACCTTGTCTCCACTAAAAATACAAAAATTAGCTGGGTGTGGTGGCAAGTGCCTGTAATCTCAGCTACTTGGGAGGCTGAGGCAGGAGAATCACTTGAACCTGGGAGGCAGAAGTTGCAGTGAGCTGAGATCATGCCACTGCACTCCAGCCTGGTCAACAAGAGTGAAACTCCATTTCAAAAAAAAAAAAAAAGATACTAATCATTGGATTAGGCCCACTCTAATCTAGTATGTCTTCATCTGACCTTGATTACACCTGTTAAAACCCTATCTTCACATTCACAGGTACCAGTTGTCAGAACTTGAATGTATCTTTTTTTGGGGGACACAATTCAATCCGCAACAGGGGCTATGACAAAGTCTGAATAGAAGACAAGAGCTCCCAATGTGTGTGTGTGAGGTTTGGTGGGGAAGTGGAGATGACTTTCTAAGGAAGGTGAAGCTTAGCTGAGATTTGAAATATAAGTAAAGTTTTTCCAGGAAATGGTGAAAAGTGGGGCAGGCATTGCTCTCTGAGGGAAGCATCTGGAAAGCTGTAAATTTCTGTTATTGTAATTGTGGATACTGGGCTTTAGCCCAAGAGGTTACCATGGCATTAAAAGAAGGAAGCCATATTCTATTTTTGTGTTTAATTTTCTCAGCTGATCATCTTGTCCCTAATTATATAATTTAGGTTTTTCACATCTATCAATCTTTATGTGAAATTTATGATGATGCTTTAGCGTAAAATCTTACAAACCTCACATCCTAATGAGAAGCCTGTGATACTCTGTCTCAAGTGCTGAGAATCAGAAATAATAATGCTTGCATCATGCTGATAATGAAGCTCTGCATGTTGAAAGTATTGACATTATTGCCATTTGTATTGTTATTCTTTAAATACTTGTGCCAAACTGAAATGAATTGTTTTTTGGTGGCTTTAAATGAGAAAACACTTAAAGTGAATTGCAGGTACAAAAAATATGAGATAAGGTACAAACTAACACAAAAGCAGTTAAATTTCTAACATAGGTGCTACTTACTGTTATTTCGAGCAATCAACAAACTTTTATTTATGGATTTCAAACATCTTTGACCTAAATGGTTATCCCTTTGCTTTATAAGAAGGATTATAAATGTTACCACTAATTTCCCGCTTAAAATATATAGGTCATCTGTTGAACAATATGGATTTGGAACTGGTAAAATAAATTATGGAATAAACCTTATGAGGGAAGAATAGTGCTCCATTAAAGCATTTTCAAAGGAATATTTCATAGCATATGAAAATATTACTATATTTTAAAATATTTTGAAATATTACTTTGTATATTTATTGTATTTATTATATATTTATTGCAGAACTAACATTGGCTCTTTATTTTGAAGTAACAGTTCATGGCATATTACGTATTTTCTTATGCCATAAAGTATTACTTAAAAATAAAGATCCAATGTTAGTTTTGAGTTGCAAAGGTTTGCAACTCAAAGGTTTGCAACTCAAAGGTTGAGTTGCAAAACTAACATTGGATCTCTATTTTAAAGTAATATGTGTATAAAATTAAATATTCCAAATAATAAAATATTATGAGTAATTTTTATTTTGTTTATACTGTTCCATATTTGTCGAATTTACCACCAGAACAACTTACGCTTAAATACGTTTTAAAACTCCAAAAGACATTTAAAAACTACAGAAAATGGGAACTGAAAAATGAGCAAAATTCTATCAATTTTAGTTGATATCTTGCTTATGTTAACGGGTAATGCAGAAGTGAAACAATGAGGACCTGTGTAGGAATTTCGCTCATTTTTCAATGACAGTGAGGGACTTCTTTGCTCATTAATTAATACAATTCAACTGCTGGAGGAGTATTTCCTCCATTTATTTTTGCTATTCATGATGTAAAGGCTACAGACATTGTGCATTTTAAAATTTATTCTGCTTTATTAATATTTTCTTCAGCACTTTTAAAAATCTACACAATTAACAAAACAATAAATCCCACACTGATTTGTAGACTTCACTGATGACTTTGATGAAAATGCTATTGCCACACCAATTTTCAAGCTCTCAACAAGACATAGCTGACTTCAGAATTAAGAAAAGATGAGCAGTGGGACACAATTATAAAATAATTCCACTACACAGGGATAATAGATGTAAATAATCATCACATTATGATAAAATTATTATACAATAATGAATTTTGAGTATTTATCGCTTGTATTTATTTTTAAATTCATATAACTTAGTTTTAAATAATGGCTTTCAATTTTGAAGAAAATTTAACTGCTGACTCTCGTGAATTGGTACTGGCTGTCTCTAGCACAAAACTGGGTCTAGGAGAAAACTAACAGATTCACAAGTCAAAACTTAGGCAAAATGTACAACTAGTCTATACTTTGTTTCCTTGGCTATAAGAACATTGTAAAAATCAGGGATATTCAAACAATTGGTATATAAACATATATATTATACACAGATACATATATTTATACATACACACACATATATGTGTATATATATATAGTTCTACATTTTTACAAAGTTGTTTTGAGTATAGCTGAATATCATCAATTATGGACAATTAGAACAACAGGAAAATTAAATTGGAGCTAGAAGTGGAAAACAAATAGAAAAGGAACAGCAGACCAGTGTCTTGTTCCTCACACTGTCTCTCTTTTCTTATCTGTAAAATGGGGTGATAATAATGGGACTTAACTTAGGCTTGAGGTTAAGGATTTAATGTAGGTGAAGTACAAAGAATGGTGCATGACACACAGTAAGAGTATTATAAGTAAATTAGTGTTTGCTCTGATGTATTATAATTTTCATTGTTTTATTGAAAAAAATCCCAAAATAAAATAGCTTTACATTACATTTTGTATATATTTTGACAGCACTCTCCCCACAATGTTGGGTCAATTTCAACTTCCGTAAGCTGTGTATGAGAATGTTTAGTAGGTTATACTCCCCTTCACATTGTAAATTTTCTTTTTTCAATTTTATAGGTGAAAATCATATTTGATTGCCTAATTTGTATCTTCTGATTACTTATCAAGGTTGATACATTGTTCATTTGTTTTCTTAATTGAGACAGGGTCTCACTCCGTCACTCAGCCTGGAGTACAGTGGTGTGATCCTAGCATTGTAACCTCCAACTCCTGGGCTCAAACAATCCTCCTGTCTCGGCCACATGGTAGATGTGTGCTACCATGCCTGGCTAATTAAAAAATTTTTTTTTTTTTTTTAGGAAGGAGGGTCTCCCTGTGTTGTACAGGCTGGTCTTGAACTCCTAGCCTCAAGTGAGTCTCCTCCCTTGACCTCCTAAAGTGTTACAGGCATGAGCTACTGCAATCAGCCCCTGTTTAATGTTTGTTACTTAAATAATTATTTATTTATAAATTGCTGTCCCATATCTTTGCCCATACAGGTATGAAAATTTAAAAAGTTTATATAATTTTAGAAACTTTTCATCTGTTATTCACATAAAAAAATTTGATTGGTTACATTTTTTGTTTTTTGAGTTTTGATTTTATTTATTACCTGTGAACATGAAGCAGTCACATTAAACAGCCAAATCAATCAGTATTTTGTTTGTTTCTTCCTTTGTATAATGTTTATCATGACTTTCTTACCCCCAAAATTATAAAAATAAAATCTCTATATATTCTAAAGTACTTGGGGCTTTATTTTTTCAAATGTATATTTTATCTTAAATTGATTATGATATATGGTATAAAATTTGACTCACCTTTTTTTCAAAATTTCATAAATCCATACACCTACAATTTTATTTTTGATTAGTTTAAAATATCAGTTATTATGTATTAGAGTTTTAATTATAATTTTTTGGTAACTTTCTGTTGAGTTCTATCACTCTACCAGTGCCATCCTAGTTCTCCCTAACTTTGCTCTGTTTATGAGGCCTTTGTAACTTAAGTACGTGGCAATACAAGCAAACTCTAAAGTCTAAAGCACAATGGAGTTCATTACTGGC
Organism: Homo sapiens; assembly: GCF_000001405.40. Classification (NCBI taxonomy): domain Eukaryota; kingdom Metazoa; phylum Chordata; class Mammalia; order Primates; family Hominidae; genus Homo; species Homo sapiens. Next base: position 80,805,962 of record NC_000011.10, on the reverse strand, counting down.
TAATACTGAAGCACTTCATTTTAATACAAGCAGATTAGTTTCTTAAGGTATTTCGGTTTTTATTTTTGGTGTTGGTTTTCTTTTTTTCCCCCTGAAAAGAAATATTCATCTAAGTTAGCAAATGATGATTGAGTTTTGGAAAAATAGACAGGGGTATTACATTGACTCACAGCATCTGTCATGGTATGCCTTTCACTTATTCATATTTAATGTTTTAATTGCATGGTAGAATATTTTTCTGTGTTAAGTAGATATTGAATCTCAACAGAATTTTTTCTTCCCTCAGTAGATATTTTAAGCTGAAAAGATACTTCTATATTTGGCTAAAAAGAGGTAATTAAAACTTTCTTCAGAAAAGCAATATGGTAAGAAGAATTCTGTTTTGTAGACTCCCAAATTATCATTTCTTATCTCAATGAATTCGTCTTAGAAGCTTTTAATCTAATTAATCCTTAACCAAGTGTAATACCATAGGGTTATATTTTGTGTTGCTGCCAGTGTGCATGGATTTAATTATGGATTTGCAAACAGATTTAGATAAAACCATCTCCAGCTGACCTATGCCTATTTGGGGTTTAAGTTGAGGAACATTTTAGTTAATTTAAATGTCTTATATTAATCTGCGTTTGTGTGCATAGTGTGTCTGCGTTCATGTACGTGTTTATGCACATTCATTTATTCTTTCTTCCAAGTTGCCTAGAAGTTCTAATATATTCTTCAGCATGCTGTAAATAAATCTATGTGAGGAAGAGAAAGAGATTATGTTTGGAAATTAGGAGATGTGGTCTTCATATTTATCTATTTTCTCTCTCTTGGATTAATTTTCTTAAAGTATAAGAAAACTGGATATCTAGGGCCTTTTCAGACTCAAATATATCATAATTCTAAGTTTAAAAATGATAAAATTTATTTCAAGAAGAAATCGTCGTTACATTATGAATGTTTCTGTCTTCCGTATCTAGATCTGAGTTCTGAAGTCTTGCCCAAACGTGATTGTGGACATTTTCCTTTTCAGATGTTAACTCCAGAAATGTGTTCATTTGTGCCTCATCACCAAAAGTCCCAACCGCTGGGATCACATTTGATGAAGGGGAACTTTGTTACTTAATTGAATGAGTTAAATTCTAATATCTTCCAAAACACTCTCACAGACATACCCAGAAATAATGTTTTACCAGCTATATGGGCATTTTTAACCCCAGTCATGTTGACAGATAAAATTAACCATCAAAGGGATCCTGAAAACACATATTTAAAATGTATATGGAACACACCATAAGAATAGAAGAAATAATGGCCAGGCGCGGTGCCTCACGCCTGTAATCCCAGCACTTTGGGAGGCCGAGGCGGGCGGATCACGAGGTCAGGAGATAGAGACCATCTTGGTGAACACGGTGAAACCCCATCTCTACTAAAAATACAATAATAAATTAGCTGGGCGTGGTGACAGGCGCTTGTAGTCTCAGCTACTTGGGAGGCTGAGGCAGGAGAATGGTGTGAACCCCGGGGGGTGGAGCTTGCAGTGAGCCAAGATAGCGTGACTTCGTCTCAAAAAAAAAAAAAAAAAAAAAATAGAAGAAATATTTAACATATAAGAAATGGGAAACATTTATTCATGGTAGTTACAAGCTACTATGTAATAGATAATAGAAAGATTTAAAAGAATGAAAACTGTATATTTAAAACACACAGCACATATAAGCCTCCAAGTATGGATTTTGGCACAGAAGAACGGTAATTCTTACTTTATTCCTCATTTTTGCAACTTTTTACTGTGGAAAATTTCAGAAGTATACAAAATAGAGATAAGAGAATAAAGGACCTCAGGTATCCATCATCCAGCTCCAACATGTATCAGGTCATTTCATTTCTTAACCGTTTTGAATTATTTTAAGGCAAATTCCAAACATCAAAGCAATTTGTGTATAAATATTTTAGTATTTATCTCTGAATAAGTTCTTTTTCCACAAAACAACCCAAAAACAAAATCACATCCAATTAATAATATTTTTTGGCTTTTTAAAAAATTTTTACTTTAAGTTCCGGGACACACGTGCAAAACATGCAGGTTTGTTACATCGGTATACATGTGCCATGGTGGTTTGCTGCACCTATCAACCTGTCATCTAGGTTTTAAGCCCCGTATGCATTAGGTGTTTGTCCTAATGTTCTCCCTCCCCTAGCTCCCCATCCCCTGGTATGCATTGTTCCCCTCCCTGTGTCCATGTGTTCTCATTGTTCAACTCCTACTTATAAGTGAGAACACGTGGTGTTTGGTTTTCTGTTTCTGTGTTAGTTTGCTGAGGATGATGGCTTCCAGTTTCATCCATGTCCCTGCAAGGGACATGGTCCCATTTCTTATTATGGCTGCATAGTATTCCGTGGTGTGTATGTACCACATTTTCTTTAGACAGTCTATCATTGATGGGCATTTGGGTTGGTTCCAAGTCTTTGCTATTGTAAATAGTGCTGCAATAACCATATGTGTGCATGTGTCTTTATAGTAGAAGGATTTATATTCCTTTGGGTATATACCCAGTAATGGGATTGCTGGGTCAAATGGTATTTCTGGTTCTAGAACCTTGAGGAATCAACACACTGTCTTCTACAATGGTTGAACTAATTTACATACCCACCAACAGTGGAAAAGTGTTACTATTTCTCCACAGCCTCGCCAACATCTATTGTTTCTTGACTTTTTAATAATCATTATTCTGACTGGCGTGAGATGGTATCACATTGTGGTTTTGCATTTCTCAAATGATCAGTGACGATCGGCTTCTTTTTCATATATTTGTTGGCCAAATAAATGTCTTCTTTTGAGAAGTGTCTGTTCATATCCTTTGCCCACTTTTTGATAGAGTTGTTTGTTTTTTTCTTGTAAATTTGTTTAAGTTCCTTGTAGATTCTGGATATTAGACATTTCTCAGATGGGCAGATTTCAAAAATTTTCTCCTGTTCTGTAGGTTGCCTATTCATTCTGATGCTAGTTTCTTTTGCTGTGCAGAAGCTCCTTAGTTTAATTAGATGCCATTTGTCAATTTTGGCTTTTGTGGCAATTGCTTTTGGTGTTTTAGTCATGAAGCCTTTGCCCATGCCTATGTCCTGAATGGTATTGCCTAGGTTTTCTTCTAGGGATTTTATGGTTTGGGGTTTCACATTTAAGTCTTTAATCCATCTTGAGTTAATTTTTGTATAAGGTGTAAATTTCAGTTTTCTGCATATGGCTAGCCAGTTTTCCCAGCACCATTTACTAAACAGAGAATCTTTTCCCCACTGCTTGGTTTTTGTCAGGTTTATCAAAGATCAGATGGTTGTAGATGTGTGGTGTTATTTTGGAGGTCTCTGTTTTGTTCCATTGGTCTATATGTCTGTTTCGGTACCAGTACCTTGCTGTTTTGGTTACTGTAGCCTTGTAGTATAGTTTGAAGTCAGGTAGTGTGATGCCTCCAGCTTTGTTCTTTTTGCTTAGGATTGTCTTGGCTATACAGGCTCTTTTTTGGTTCCATGTGAAATTTAAAGTAGATTTTTCTAATTCTGTGAAGAAAATCAATGGTAGTTTGGTGGGAATAGCATTGAATCTATAAATTAATTTGGGCAGTATGGTCATTTTCATGATATTGATTCTTCCTATTCATGAGCATGGAACGTTTTCCATTGTTTTTGTCCTCTCTTATTTCCTTGAGCATTGGTTTGTAGTTCTCCTTGAAGACGTTCTTCATGTCCCTTGTAAGTTGTATTCCTAGGTATTGAACTCTCTTTGTAGCAACTGTGAATGGGATTTCATTCATGATGTGGCACTCTGCTTGTCTATTGTTGGTATATCGGAATGCTTGTGATTTTTGAACATTGATTTTGTATTCTGAGACCTTGCTGAAGTTGCTCATCAGCTTATGGAGTTTTTTGGGCTGAGACAATAAAAATAGAATCATGTCATCTGCAAACAGAGACAATTTTATTTCTTCTTTTCCTATTTGAATAGGCTTTATTTCTTTCTCTTGCCTGCTTGCCCTGGCCAGAACTTCCAATACTATGTTGAATAGGAATGGTGAGAGAGGCCCTCCTTGTCTTGTGCCAGTTTTCAAAGAAAATGCTTCCAGCTTTTGCCCATTCAGTATGATATTGGCTGTGGGTTTGTCATAAATAGCTTTTATTACTTTGATATATGTTCCATCAGTACCTAGTTTATTGAGAGTTTTTAACATGAAGGGATGTTGAATTTTATCAAAGGCCTTTTCTGCAGCTGTTGAGATAATCATGAGTTTTTTGCCATTGGTTCTGTTTATGTGATGGATTACATTTATTGATTTGCATATGTTGAACCAGCCTTGCATCCCAGCGATGAAGCTGACTTGATTATGGTGGATAAGCTTTTTGATGTGCTGCTGGATTCAGTTTGCCAGTATTTTATTGAGGGTTTTCGCATTAATGTTCATCAGGGATATTGGCCTGAAGTTTTCTTTTTTTGTTGTGTCTCTGCCAGGTTTTGGTATCAGGATGATGCTGGCCTCATAAAATGAGTTAGGGAGGAGTTCCTCCTTTTAAATTGTTTGGAATACTTTCAGAAGGAATGGTACCAGCTTCTCTTTGTACTTCAGGTAGAATTCAGTTGTGAATCCCTCTGATCCTGGCCTTTTTTTGGTTAGTAGGCTATTAATTACTGCCTAAATTTCACAACTTGTTATTGGTCTATTCAGGGATTCAACTTCTTCCGTTTCGGTCTTGGGAGGGTGTATGTGTCCAGGAATTTAACCATTTCTTCTAGATTTTCTAGTTTATTTCCATATAGGTGTTTATAGTATTCTCTCATTGTACTTTGTATTTCTGTGGGGTCAGTAGTGACATCCCCTTTATCATATTTTATTGTGTCTATTTGATTCTCCTCTCCTTTTTTCTTTAGTAGTCTAAGTAATAGTCTATCAATTTTGTAAATTTTTTCAAAAAACCAGCTCCTGGATTTACTGATTTTTTTGAAGGGCTCCTCATGTCTCTGTCTCCTTCAGTTCTGCTCTGATCTTAGTTATTTATTGTCTTCTGCTAGCTTTTGAATTTGTTTGCTCTTGCTTCTCTAGTTCTTTTAATTGTGGTATTAGGGTGTTGACTTGAGATCTTTCCCACTTTCTGATGTGGGCATTTAGTGCTATAAATTTTCCTCTTAACACTGCTTTAGCTGTGTCCCAGAGATTCTGGTAAGTTGTCTCTTTGTTCTCATTGGTTTCAAAGAACTAATTTATTTCTACCTTAATTTTGTTATTTACCCGGGAGTCATTCAGGAGCAGGTTGTTCAGTTTCCATGTAATTGTGTGATTTTGAGTGAATTTCTTAATCCTGAGTTCTAATTTGATTGCACTGTGGACTGAGAGACTGTTTGTTATGATTTCCATTCTTTTCCATTTGCTGAGGAGTGTTTTACTTCCAATGATGTGGTCAATGTTAGAATAAGTGCCATGTGGCACTGAGAAGAATGTATATTCTGTTGATTTTTGGTGCAGAGTTCTGTAGATGTCTATTAGGTACACAAGATCCAGAGCACAGTTCAAGTCCTGAATAGCCTTATAGATTTTCTGTCTCATTGATCTGTCTAATATTGACAGTGGGGTGTTACAGTCTCCCACTATTATTGTGTGGGAGTCTAAGTCTCTTTATAGGTCTCTAAGAACTTGTTTTATGAATCTGGGTGCTCCTATATTGGGTAGCTAGCTCTTCTTGTTGCATTGATCCCTTTACCATTGTGTAATGCCCTTCTTTGTCTTTTTTGATTTTTGTTGGTTTAAAGTCTGTTTTATCAGAGACTAGGATTGCAACTCCTGACTTTTTGTTTTTTATTTTTATTTTTTGCTTTCCATTTGCCTGGTAGCTATTCCCCCATCCCTTTATTTTGAGCCTATGTGTGTCTTTGCATGTGAGATGGATCTCCTGAATACAGACACCGATGGATCTTGACTCTTTATCCAATCTGCCAGTCTGTGTCTTTTAAGTGGAGCATTTAGGCCATTTACATTTAAGGTTAATATTCTTATGTGTGAATTTGATCCTGTCATCATGATGTTTGCTGGTTATTTTGCACACTAGTTGATGCAGTTTCTTCATAGTGTCATTGGTCTTTATATTGTGGTGTGGTTTTGCAGTGGCTGGTACCAGTTTTTCCTTTCCATATTTAGTGCTTCCTTAAGGAGCTCCTGCAAGACAGGCCTGATGGTGACAAAATCCCTTAGCATTTGCTTGTCTGGAGAGGATTTTATTTCTCCTTCGCTTATGAAGCTTAGTTTGGCCGGATATGAAATTTGGGGTGAAAACTCTTTTCTTTAAGAATGTTGACTATTGGCCCCCACATTCTTCTGGCCTGTAGGGTTTCTGCTGAGAGATCCACTGTTAGTCTGATGGGCTTCCCTTTGTAGGTGACCTGACCTTTCACTCTTGCTGCCTTTGTCATTTTTTCCTTCATATCAACCTTGGAGAGTCTGATGATTATATTTCTTGGGGTTGATCTTCTCGTGGAGTATCTTAGTGGTGTTCTCTTTATTTCCTGAACTTGAATGTTGGCCTGTCTTGCTAGGTTGGTGAAGTTCTCCTGGATAATATCCTGAACTATGTTTTCCAACTTGGTTCCATTCTCCTCATCTCTTTCAGGTACTCCAATCAACCATAGGTTTGGTCTTTTCACATAGTCCCATATTTCTTGGAGGTTTTGTTCATTCCTTTGCATTCTTTTTTCCCTAATCTTGTCTGCATGTCTTATTGCAGCAATGTAGTCTTCTAACTCTATACCCTTTCTTCTGCTTGATTGATTCAGCTATTGACACTTATGTATGCTTCACAAAGTTCTCGTGCTGTGTTTTTCAGCTCCATCAGGTCATTTATGTTTCTCTCTAAACTGGTTATTCTAGTTAGCAGCTCCTGTAACCTTTTATTCATGCTCTTAGATTCTTTGTATTGGGTTAGAACATGCTCCTTTAGCTCAGAGGAGTTTGTTATTACCCACCTTCTGAAGCCTACTTCTGTCAATTTGTAAATCTCATTCTGTGTCCAGCTTTGCACCCTCCCAGAAGAGGTGTTGCGATCATTTGGAGAAGAAGAGCCATCTGGCTTTTGGAATTTTCAGTGTTTTTGCACTTGTTTGTCCTCATCTTCGTGGATTTATCTACCTTTGCTCTTTGAGGCTGATGACCTTTGGATGAGGTTTTTGTGGGGAGGTCTTTTTTGTTGATGTCATTGTTGTTGCTTTCTGTTTGTTAGTTTTTCTTCTAACAGTCAGGACCCTCTTCTGCAAGTCTACTGCACTTTGTTGGATGCCCACTTCAGACTCTGTTTGCCTGAGTATCACCAGTGGAGGCTGCAGAACAGCAAAGATTGCTGCGTGCTCCTTCCTCTGGAAGCCTCATCCCAGAGAAGCACCAGCCTGATGGCAGCTGGAGCTCTCCTGTATGAGGTGTCTGTCCACCCCTGTTGGGAGTTCTCTCCCAGTCAGGAGGCACAGGGGTCAGGAACCCACTTAAGAAGGCAGTCTGTCCCTTAGCAGAACTGGTGCGCTGTGCTGGGAGAATCCCCTTTGTCAGAATCGGCCGCTCTTTTCAGAGCCGGCAGGCAGGAAAGATTAACTCTGCTGAAGCTGTGATGCCAACCGCCGCTGCCACAAGCCAGATGCTCTGTCCCAGGGAGATGAGAGTTTTGTCTGTAAGCACGTGACTAGAGCTGCTGGATTTCCTGCAGAGATACTTTGCCCAGTGAGGAGAAATCTAAAGAAACAGTCTGGCCACAGCTGCTTTGCTGCACTGCAAAGTCGGAACCTCCCAGTCTCCTTAGCACTGTCAGGGGAAAACTGTCTACTAAAGCCACAGTAATGTCAGTCATCCCTCCCCCGACCAAGCCAATAGTCCCAGGTCAACTCCAGACTGCTGTGCTGTCAGTGAGAATTTCAAGTGAGTGGTTCTTAGCTTGCTGGGTTCCAGGGGAGTGGGACATGCTGAGCGAGACCGCTTGGCTCCTTGGCTTCAGCCCACTTTCCAGGGGACTGGACAGTTCTCCTGTCTCTCTGGACTTCCAGGTGCAGCTGGAGTATGAAAAAACTCCTGCAGCTCAGTGCCTGCCCAAACAGCCACCCAGTTTTGTGCTTGAAACCCAGGGCCCTGATGGTGTAGGCTCATGAGGCAATCTCCTGATCCATGGATTGCAAAAATCCATGGGAAAAGCATAGTACCCGTGGTGGGTAGCACAGTCCCTCACCACTTCCCTTGGCTGGGGGAGGGAGGTCCCCTGGCTCCGTGTACTTCCCAGGTGAAGCGAAGCCCCACCCTGCTTTGTTCAGTCTCCGTGGGTTGCACCCAATGCCTAACCAGTCCCAAGGAGATGAACTGAGTACTTCAGTTGGAAATGCAGAAATCACCCATCTGCATTTTGTCTTACTGGGAGCTGCAAATGGGAGCTGTTTCTATTTGGCCATCTTGCCAATTAATAATAATTTATTAGAAATTAAATCTCTACACTAGAGGAGAAGCAGCAAAAGAAGAAGGAAGGAAAGTTGATCATTAAATATAACTCTATTTCTTTTTGATGTATGTGTATACATATTTTTTCTTTGTGTTTTACCAGGTTTTGAGTGAAATGTAGTACTTGAGTCTGAGTAGAAAAATAATTAGGTCAATTATGAGCCTGTAGCTAAAATACTCACTTCTTGACTCTTAGGTCAATCTCCCTCCTCTACTCCACATTAATACCTATATTTTAAGTATTTATAAACTTAAGTAATTATAAACTTCCTGTTCAGTCAATTAATGTTATTCAAAGTAGTTATGTTCTATAAATTAGCCAAGAATATTGAATTACTGAAGGCTAGGAACCATTGTTCCTAGGGGAAATATAGGGTTAGGTTCCTATGAGACTCTGGTTATATACTGTCTACTGATCAATATTTGACCTTGTCTTATGTGTGTTTTTGTTTAGAGATATCTTATTTAATATATATTTTTGATTCATTAATATTGACCTTATGGCCAACAGCGCTATAACTCCTGCCTGACAAACACCACCTAACACATGTATTCTCTTCATAGGCACATTACAGCCTTCTTGCACTTAGGAACACTAGACAGCACTTCTCTACTATACCTTGGGCCCAATTTAAACAGGAAAATCACCAATAAAGAAGGCACAAAAGTTCCAAAAATTTGGCATTAAATAAATATACCGTGAGAAAGACATTTATTTACAGAGTGAGGGCTAAAACAAGAAAGCAGGGCAACACCTTGTTCAGTGTGGGAACTTGCACGTCATATGACTCAAATTTTTTCAGCTGGGAACTTGCATATTACATGACAATTTTTTCCATGCTCTATACATGTATGTGAATGACCTTGAAAGGACAAATATTGATTTTGGAGTTACAAATAAATGTTAACAAGTAGGCAAATTTTCAAATATGGAATCCATGAATAATGAAGATTGCTTTTACAGTATGTGCATTTATATATGAATATATTTATATACAGATAAATTTAGAAGATAAAAATTGAACTTTGAAAATAATTATAAATATTGGATTAGGCCAAAGAAGGGGGAAAAATAGATAGCAGAGGAACAAATAAATTTTCTATGCAGCTTTAAGTGAAATAGAGTAGGCTGAGACAAATCACATCTGGAATTGTTGAGTGACATCTCTGAGTCTGTTGATGTAGAAGGAGCTGGATGTTTTAGCATGGTGTGATGGAAAGAGATCACAGAACTCTGCTATGTTGTGACCTACCCTGGCATGTATTAATCACAGCAGAGTTTTACTACCTATAGCTGTTCATTGCACACTGAAGTTTCCCCTTCAGTTCTGCCAAACTAATATTTCATATATGCTACCCAAAGCTTTTACCATCTTTACTCTCCAAGCGATCATTTCTAAGATCAGGGTAAACAAGTAATTTTCAACAGGACAAAGAGAATTTACATGATAATTCAAAAACTGCATAGCAGTTTGGGAATAAAACACCTGATCAGTGCAATTAGAATTTACTTCTCATGAAAATATTATATCTTCACATAGAAAACCGAGAATTAAAATTAAATAATTCTTAAGTGAGACAGATCAGCTAAATGCCAGAAAACTTTTGGACTCCACAATGGCAGAGAGAAGCCCACCATAACAGCAGCCTTTAAAGACAAAACAATGGACATACTTCACTTATTTCTTATAAAGTCAGTGGATATCATTTATCTTCCATAAAGTTCATTGGGAAAGAGAATAGTGGCCATGCAAACTGACCAGGACCTCATGCAAAACCATTTTAAGAGAGCAGGATTTTGTGTCTGAGAACAGGAGACATGGAGGCAATCATTAGACTGACTAATTCCAAAGCATTTAGTACTGAAGTTTGTTTCATGGAATGACAACTTGAAAATTTGAGGAGGTTTTTCCTGGAGATCTTCAAAGGCTCTTTGCTTCACTAATCTGATTCTTTGGTCAAGTCATTAATTTTTGCCCATAAGAATAAGGGGTGTTTTAGCTCATAAGAAACTCCACAGTCAAGAAGCAGCAACTTGATGTGATTAAACAAGCTCTTTCCATGATAGGCTCAACTGAAGAATTTGGATAAATGCTAATTCTGTGATTTTCATATTTCAGTGATTTGGCTCTCTTATCAGTTCCCATTAAGCTGACTTTTTTTTTTTTTTCATAAAAATGAAAAGAAAATGAGGGATTGCAGTTCAAGTTTCCTCTTAATGTGATGGCTGCCTTCTGTGAGAGTCATCAGGAAGTCAGCTCACTCGAATTTTCAAAATCGACTAGAATCCATAATTACTGGTGTTGTCTGAGCTCCATAGTCTTTTGAGGTCATGAATTCTCCTTGGCTTTTACTCAGTCAGTGGGATTTTCTACACTTCTTTTCTTCCTTCTCCAAATACTCCCAATAGACTGAATTTATGGATTGCCCAGTTAGTTCCCCTTGGCAAAAAACATTTGTTTTTAGACTGTTCTGAGTATGTAGGAAGAGTAGGACCATCCCAATTTAATATAGAAACATGGCTTAGCATGAAACAGAGAGAAAAGAATTCTCATGTGGTTTAAGACACAAGTTTGATGGAGATTTCCAGGGGATTCAAAAGCTAGAAGCAACTACAGAGCTATAAATACTGTGAAACCAAATACACATATGCAGCCTTCTCAGGATGGGGTTAAACTCTTTGCAGAGCTGTGGTTCACTGTTATGTAATTCTAAAGGGACAAAGTAACCACACTTGTCACTGAAGCCTCTACAGTGCACTCTTAACAACAGTCTCCAGTTTCTCTTTCTAAAGAATGGACATTACTGTTCAATCAAATAAAAGGATTATGATGTTTAATTATATGTGTCAACTTCACCGGGTTAAGGGGTACCGAGATAGCTGGTAAAACATTATTTCTGAATGTCCCTGTGAAGGTGTTTCTGGAAGAGGTTAGCATTTGAATCAATAGACCTAGTAAAGAAAATTCCCTTGCCAATGTGGGTGTGCATTATCCAATCCTTTGAAGAACCACCTGAATAGAACAATGGAGGAAGTGTAAGCAGGTCTTTAGGTTTGGATTGAATTATATCACTGGCTTTTCTGAGTCTTCAGCTGGTATATGACATATGTTGGCACTTTTGGGCCTCCATAATGGCATAAAGCAATTCCCATAATAAATCTCCTTATGTATATATATCCAATTGGTTCCATTTCTCTGGAAAACTCAGACTAATACAAAGAGGCTATAGTTCCGGTTGGTGTAGCTAAGAAAATAACCCCTGTCTGGACAGACAGAATCCTTTTCTGTGTGTTTCTGTGTTACAGTACTGCTATCACTTATTACTAATTATGCTTATTAATCCTAGGAAAGTTTTATGAACACAACAGCTGTCTTTCTAAACTAGGTGAATTGTCCCTGTATTTTCCCAGTGCGAATGCTTTATTTTTTGCAATTTTGTCTCTCCTTTTCTATCTCCTTTATGCTAGTAGAAATTTAGATTTCCTTTATTAAGAAGAAAGAAAAATAAATTAAAAAGTAGGGAAAGAAGAAGGAATATAAGGAGACTAAGCAAATATTAGAAATAACTTTTAGTCGTTGGTTCTGTTTATATGCTGGATTACGTTTATTGACTTGCGTATGTTGAACCAGCCTTGCATCCTAGGGATGAAGCCCACTTGATCATGGTAGATAAGCTTTTTGATGTGCTACTGGATTCAGTTTGCCAGTATTTTATTGAGGATTTTTGAATTGATGTTCATCAGGTATATTGGTCTAAAATTCTCTTTTTTTGTTGTGTCTCTGCCAGGCTTTGGTATCAGGATGATTCTGGCCTCATAAAATGAGTTAGGGAGGATTCCCTCTTTTTCTATTGATTGGAATAGTTTCAGAAGGAATGGTACCAGTTCCTCCTTGTACCTCTGGTAGAATAAGGCTGTGAATCCATCTGGTCCTGGACTCTTTTTGGTTGGTAAGCTATTAATTATTGCCTCAATTTCAGAGCCTGTTATTGGTCTATTCAGAGATTCAGCTTCTTCCTGGTTTAGTCTTGGGAGGGTGTATCTGTTGAGGAATTTATCCATTACTTCTAGATTTTCTAGTTTATTTGCATAGAGGTGTTTATAGTATTCTCTGATGGTAGTTTGTATTTCTGTGGGATCTGTGGTGATATCCCCTTTATCATTTTTTATTGCATCTATTTGATTCTTCTCTCTTTTCTTCTTTATTAGTCTTGCTAGTGGTCTATCAATTTTGTTGATCTTTTCAAAAACCAGCTCCTGGATTCATTGATTTTTTGAAGGGTTTTTTGTGTCTCTATTTCCTTCATTTCTGCTCTGATATTAGTTATTTCTTGCCTTCTGCTAGCTTTTGAATGTGTTTGCTCTTGCTTCTCTAGTTCTTTTAATTGTGATGTTAGGGTGTCAATTTCAGATCTTTCCTGCTTTCTCTTGTGGGCATTTAGTGCTATAAATTTCCCTCTACACACTGCTTTGAATATGTCCCAGAGATTCTGGTATGTTGTGTCTTTGTTCTCATTGGTTTCAAAGAACATCTTTATTTCTGCCTTCATTTTATTATGTAGCCAGTAGTCATTCAGGAGCAGGTTGTTCAGTTTCTATGTAGTTGAGTGGTTTTGAATGAGTTTCTTAATCCTGAGTTCTAGTTTGATTACACTGTGGTCTGCGATACAGTTTGTTGTAATTTCTGTTCTTTTACATTTGCTGAGGAGTGCTTTACTTCCAACTATGTGGTCAATTTTGGAATAGGTGTGGCGTGGTGCTGAAAAGAATGTATATTCTGTTGATTTGGGGTGGAGAGTTCTGTAGATTTCTATTAGGTCCACTTGGTGCAGAGCTGAGTTCAGTTCCTAGATATCCTTGTTAACTTTCTGTCTCATTGATAACCACATGATCATCTCAATAGATGCAGAAAAGGCCTTTGACAAAATTCAACAACCTTCATGCTAAAAACTCTCAATAAATTAGGTATCGATGGGATGTATCTCAAAATAATAAGATCTATCTATGACAAACCCACAGCCAATATCATACTGAATGGGCAAAAACTGGAAGCATTCCCTTTGAAAACTGGCACAACACAGGGATGCCCTCTCTCACCATTCCTATTCAACATCGTGTTGGAAGTTCTGGCCAGGGCAATCGGGCAGGAGAAGGAAATAAAGGGTATTCAATTAGGAAAAGAGGAAGTCAAATTGTCCCTGTTGGCAGATGACATGATTGTATATCTAGAAAACCGCATCATCTAAGCCCAAAATCTCCTTACGGTGATAGGCAACTTCAGCAAAGTCTCAGGATACAAAATCAATGTGCAAAAATCACAAGCATTTTTATACACCAGTAACAGACAAACAGAGAGCCAAATCATGAGTGAGCTCCCATTCACAATTACTTCAAAGAGAATAAAATACCTAGGAATCCAACTTACAAGGGATGTGAAGGACCTCTTCAAGGAGAACTACAAACCACTGCTCAATGAAATAAAAGAGGATACAAACAAATGGAAGAACATTCCATGCTCATGGGTAGGAAGAATGAATATCATGAAAATGGCCATACTGTCCAAGGTAATTTATAGATTCAATGCCATCCCCATCAAGCTACCAATGACTTTCTTCACCGTATTGGAAAAAACTACTTTAAAGTTCATATGGAACCAAAAAAGAGCCCACATTGCCAAGTCAATCCTAAGCCAAAAGAACAAAGCTGGAGGCATCACGCTACCTGACTTCAAACTATACTACAAGGCTACAGTAACCAAAACAGCATGGTACTGGTACCAAAACAGAGATATAGACCAATGGAACAGAACAGAGCCCTCAGAAATAATGCCACATATCTACAACTATCTGATCTTTGACAAACCTGACAAAAACAAACAATGGGGAAAGGATTCCCTATTTAATAAATCGTGCTGGGAAAACTGGCTAGCCATATGTAGAAGCTGAAACTGGATCCCTTCCTTACACCTTATACAAAAATTAATTCAAGATGGATTAAAGACTTAAATGTTAGACCTAAAACCATAAAAACCCTAGAAGAAAACCTAGGCAATACCATTCAGGGCATAGGTATGGGCAAGGACTTCATGTCTAAAACACCAAAAGCAATGACAACAAAAGCCAAAATTGACAAATGGGATCTAATTAAACTAAAGAGCTTCTGCACAGCAAAAGAAACTACCATCAGAGTGAACAGGCAACCTACAGAATGGGAGAAAATTTTTACAATCTACTCATCTGACAAAGGGCTAATATCCAGAATCTACAATGAGGTCAAACAAATTTACAAGAAAAAAACAACCCCATCAAAAAGTGGGCCAAGAATATGAACAGACATTTCTCAAAAGAAGACCTTTATGCAGCCAAAAGACACATGAAAAAATGCTCGTCATCACTGGCCATCAGAAAAATGCAAATCAAAACCACAATGAGATACCATCTCACAGCAGTTAGAATGGCAATCATTAAAATGTCAGGAAACAACAGGTGCTGGAGAGGATGTGGAGAAATAGGAACACTTTTACACTGTTGGTGGGACTGTAAACTAGTTCAACCATTGTGAAAGTCAGTGTGGTGATTCCTCAGGGATCTAGAACTAGAAATACCATTTGACCCAGCCATCCCATTACTGGTTATATACCCAAAGATTATAAATCATGCTGCTATAAAGACACATGCACACGTATGTTTATTGCGGCAGTATTCACAATAGCAAAGACTTGGAACCAACCCAAATGTCCAACAATGATAGACTGGATTAAGCAATTGTGGCACATATACACCATGGAATACTATGCAGCCATAAAAAAGGATGAGTTCATGTCCTTTGCAAGGACATGGATGAAGCTGGAAACCATCATTCTTAGCAAACTATCTCAAGGACAAAAAATCAAACACCGCATATTTTCACTCATAGGTGGGAATTGAACAATGAGAACACATGGACACAGGAAGGGGAACATCACACACTGGGGCCTGTTGTGGGGTGGGGAGAGGGGGGAGGGATAGCATTAGGAGATATACCTAATGTCAAATGAAGAGTTAATGGGTGCAGCACACCAACATTGCACATGTATACATATGTTAACAAACCTGCACATTGTGCACATGTACCCTAAAACTTAAAGTATAGTAAAAAAAATAAAATAAATAAAAATTAAATAAAATAAAACAGATATTAATCCAAAAAAAAAAAGAAATAACTATTAGTTTGGTCAGGCAATTTTCTTGTCATGGTCCATTGCAGCGTGACTTGTTTAATCCTGGATGGCTATATCTTTGGCAGTGTGGTGGCTTTAAAATATGTCCAAAAAGCTGATACTCTTTCTCTGAAGGAGTAGAGTCTAATTTTCCTCCCATGGAGTGGGGATCAGACATAATGACTCACTTCTAGCAAATATAGTGGACATTATTGTGTGTCATTTCCAATATTGGATGATAAAAGGCATCATGCCTTCTACCTTGCTGGTTCTCTTTTATCACTTGCTCTTGGGAAGCCAGTGTGTCATGGAAAGACTCAAGAAGCCCTGTGAAGAGGCCCATATGATGAGGAACTGAGGCCTCCTGCCCACAGCCAAGTGATTAGAAATGAATTCTATAGCCCTAGCCATCAGCTTGACTGCAACTTCATGAGAGACTCTGAGCCTAAGCCACCCATGTAAACTCTTCCTGAATTTCTGACACATAAAAATTAAGAGGTAACAGTTTGTTGTTTTAAGCCAGAAATTATTGTGTAATTTGTTACATGATAATAGATAACTAATATACATACACTCACAATTTATAGCATCTATCCTAAATTTGCCTACGACATTTCATTATCTATTCGGACTAGCTCCATGAATTCTAAAGTTCTGACTTCATTATTTTTCTTCATGTCTTCAGTTTTACTGGTACAAAAGTAAGCCACACTTTTTTCTCCTCTGTGACTTAAAAGCTTCCTCAACACTGCTGCCTCAGGCCTCCCAGGCTTAAATGCAAACTACACGAACAATACAATTTGGTTATTTAAATCTCATCCTCGAGAGAGTACCTGAGCAGATTCCAATTAAGATACTATTAAGACAAAGAAAAGTGGCAAATCAAGTAGATTTGAGTGAAGATTAGATTTATATTAAGAAGATCTAAGTAAATAATAAGAATCATAATCATAATAGTTAGATTTTGTTGAACATTCATTATGTGTCAGTATTGATGCTAAGCATTTTATATGCTTTATTTACTTTAGTCTTCACTATAACCTTAGGAGGGAAGATATTATTTTATTTGATGTATGAGGACATTAAAGTATAACAGTAAATAATTGATTCAAGGACATGGTTTCTATTAAGTGAAGCACAAATTCAAACTATCTTCCACCTCATTCTAGTCTGTGTACTCATTATCACTATACTTCCTTGCCCTTGCTCTACTATTAACAACTGTCATAGCCTTAAACAAATAATAAAAACAGTGTTAAGGACTGAATGTTTACATCTCTCCAAAATTCATGTGTTGAAGCCCTAACTCCCAAGGTGATGATATTAGGAGGCAGGGGCTTGGAAACGTAATTAGATTTTATAAGAACATGAGGGTGGACTCCCCAAGATGGAATTAACACTCTTATATTGAGAAGAAGAGATACCAGAGCTTCCTGTCATGGCCTTGTGAGGATATGGAAAGAAGGTGGCTGTCTGCAAACTGGGAAGAGAGCCCTCACCAAAAACCAAATCTGCTGGCACCTTGATCTTGGACTTCCCAGTCTCTACAACTGTGAAAAATACACATTTGTAGTTTAAGATACCCAGTTTGTGGTGTTTTGTTATGACAACCCAAACTGACTAAGACAAACAATTATAGTAATGAAACACGATAATAACTAATGTATCTCACATACCATTTAAGAGACTGTTGCAAGAAAAAAATGGGACTCTAACATTCTCCCCTATCCCCCAAACTGGAAAGGAGTTGAAAGACCAACGAATGACTTGGACAAGTCCAGCTTGATGAGTAGATGAATTTATTAGGACTTACATAAAGGGCACACCTGGACGGCAAGCAAGATAGCTCTAAAGATCCGTGCTGCCTCCCATCTCTAAACTGCTTTAAAGCTAATTTTCTGGCTCTTTTCCAGCTCTGTTTGAGCAATGAGACTGTTCATCTTAGTAGGTTCTCAAATACTTTCTGTGTTTGTTTCTCAAATGGGCACCATGGCCCAGCCTTCAGTGTTCAGGCAGCAGACATACACCCTTAAGGAACCTGGTGGGGGATCTATCGCACTACAGAAACTTTCTTCCCTGTGACCCCCACCACTTAAGTTCTTAATCTGAACCTTCTCCAACTCTATGGACTGTGTAAAAACAATTTCTCTCTTCCCAGTTTTCTCAAGTGATCTTTCCTTTTTTTTTTTTTTTTTTTTTTTTTTGAGACAGAGTCTCGCTCTTTCACCCAGCCTGGACTGCAGTGGTGCTATCTTGGCTCACTGCATGCTTCGGCTCACTGCTCTCTCTGCCTCCCGGGTTCACTCTATTCTCCTGCCTCAGCCTCCTGAGTAGCTGGGACCACAGGCGCCCGCCACCACGCCCGGCTAATTTTTTGTGTTTTTAATAGAGACGGGGTTTCAACGTGTTAGCCAGGATGGTCTCGATCTCCTGACCTCGTGATCCGCCCACCTCGGCCTCCCAAAGTGCTGGGATTACAGGCGTGAGCCACCGTGCCCAGCCTCAAATGATCTTTCTCACATTGTCATGGCATCCATGTTTCCTTGGCTCCATGTCTGTAATGCTGTTCCTTGTCCCATATATGAATCTTCACATTCCTTTTAGTATAAAACAAATTCAAACCCACTTGAGTGAAGCATTTGTAGGTATAATTCACTTTGGTGAAGTTTTGTTTGTTGGTTGTTTCATTTTTTTAAGGAGGAGAATGCCGAAATGAGATTAATAGTGAAGCAATGCAAACAATGTTAAAATCCATATTAAACATCCTATTTCTAGGATCCTTTTGTGAAACACTGAGAAATTTCACTGTTTGTATTAGTTTTCTGTGGCTATTGTAACAAAATACTACAAACTTTGTAGCTTAAAACAACAAACAACAGATATTTATTATCTTATATTTCTAGTTGCTGGAAATCCTAAACTAGTATCATTAGGATACAAATCAGTGTGTTGGCAAGGCCAAAATCTCTCCACAAGTTCTAAGGGGAATCCATTCCTCTTATAGCTTCTGGTGGCTTCTGGCATTCCTTTGCTTGTGGTAGCATTACTCGAATTTCTGCCTATATCATTACATCACTTTCTCTTCTTCATGTTTGTTCAATATCATTTTGCCCTTTTCTTATAAGGACATTTGTGATTACTTTAGGACCTACCTAGATAATCCAGGGCAATCTTCCTATGCTGAGATTCACAACCACATATGCAGAAAACCCTCCCCATTATTCCCCTCTTTTTACTTTTGAGATAGCATTTATAGGTTCTAGGTATTAGGACAAGACATCTTTGAATGGCGATTATTCAGCCTACTATACTGTTCTCTCCTAATTCCAGCCCATTTCTACTTTGTTGTTTACTCTTCTTGCTCTTACCCCTCTTCTCTTTTCTTAGCAGCTTCTCTCAAAGACTATTTGAGGAGAACTAAATCCTTTTATACCTATTATACAAAACAAGTAAATGCTCCTCAGTCCTTAGGAACAAATGCTCATCTGTTGAGTATTCACGATAGTCAATGGACAAAAACAAAACAAACAAAATGTTATAATACACGAACAATAAATGAACAAAAATCTTTTATTTAACAGACCCATAATCCCTAGGAAGTTAAAATTTATTTTCCTTTCATTACAAGTAATTATATCTTATATTATCTCATATCTCATTGCAATTTGAAATAATTTCAATATATTAATACTTTCCTGCAAATTCTAAAATGAATGCGTTAGTTTCGCTATTTTAAAGACGATACAAATGGGCAAGGTTGTATAGACAGGAAGAGGCAAAGCTAGAATTCTAAAGCAGAGCTACTTTCAAGGCCTAGTCTAATCACTAAGACTTACTTAGTGAACCCTTCAGGTTCAGTTTTCTAGTCTGTAAAAAGAGATTAAAGTATTGTTAACCAAATATTTAACCTCAGAGTTAAATAAAGTAATTTAAATAAGGTAAAGCAAAAGTACCTTGTATATTATAAAGCATTATGCTAAAGTGACCACTGTTATATCCATAACCATTACCAATGTCACCATCACTACCCCCACCACAATCAACTATTCCACTATCATCACCGTTACTACTAACATCACCACCACTATCACCATCACCATCTACTACTGTTATCACCATCACCACCATCTCCATCATCATCATCATCACTGTTCGTGTCATCTGCCATCACTGCTACTGCTGCCATTAGTACCATTACCACTGTTACCACCATCATCACTACCACACCACAGCTTCTAACGCCACTGTTTCTTAGTGGGGTGCTGAAACTGGCTTATACCAGCTCATGAGATATAATTGTTAACATCTCTTCCCAATTCAGCATTCACTGACTTACTGGCAGCTCAAAAGTAGGCCATGGTAGGGGTGTTCACTCCTTGAAAAATAGGCAAATGCTACAAACCAGGGATCTTAATGCTCAAGCACACCAAAAATGTCCACAACCAACACTTCTTAACTCACTACCACTAGTGAAACCACCACCGTCACTATCAGCACATCCATCGCTACTGCCTTCATCTCTACCACCATCACCACCCCAATCCAGCTACTGCCAGTTATCATTCTCAACATCATCAACCCATTGTTATCATTATCATCTAAAAGATTAATTTTTATTTAAATATTTTACTTAAGTGAATCAGCATAGCATTGTGATTATTTAACTGGTTATGCATAAGAATATAATGTAAATTTTGGCCTTGGTACATGAGCCTATTGTAAGAGAGCATTGTAAAAACTTAGCGAGGAGTATGTTGGGGAGGGAGGGAACAAGGGCCAAGCTCAGCATCCTTCCTGGCTGTGAAGTATGCTCTGATGTTTTGCTGGATTTACTGAGCAGGCAAAGTCTATCCAAACCAAATCCATTAAAACAATCCTGCTGGCACTCTATTACTTTGACATAAATTAAGCTACAGATTGCTTGAAAAACATTCAACCCTGGGCATAGGAGGAGGTGTGATGGATAAGACTGACACATGTACATACCAGGGGATGCTTGTGGCTGTGTGTCAGAAAACTCTCCCTTCATTGTGGCATTCGAAAGGACTAAAAAGTGAGTTGATTGTTGCTTAGGATGCTGCAAACAAAAACTTTTAAGTTTTCCTTTGGAAAATAAAAAAGGAATAGAAATCAGATCATAAGATAAGTAAGACTATTTGTTAAACACTTATGAAATCTACCTTTATAATACGGTATGATTGATTTTTTTACATTTTACTAATACACGGACTGAAGCTAAGATAAAGTTACAATAGATGGCAGGGTGGTGGTTTCTAGTTTCAAAGGCCGTGCTTTCCACTTCTTCTTACTAACTCATGTATGGGAGGGGAGAAAATATTTCATAAAACTCAATAGGCATCAAAAACAAAGTTAGAGTTTTTGACATTTATCTCTATATTATCAAAAAAATTGTGAAGTAGGCATTTCTATCTCTACAATTCAGAAAGTGGAGATTCAGAGATATTGTTACATTTACAAAGCAAGTCAGCTAATAAAGGCCAAAACTAGGATTCAGATTCATAGTGCAAACTTCTAAACACTTCCTACTATCCTTCTCCCCCTACTCAAAACTTTGGCGATGTGGGTATATGTACATTTACTGGGAATTGGGTCAGACTCTTTTGTAAGATGATTTAAAATGTCATTTGCTCAATAGCAACCTAGAATTTCTATTTTTATGTTATAGCCTATTTGGTTTGCTTTTTTTTTTTTTTTTTTTTTTGCTTCATTAAGTGCTTGCACTAATGTCAATTTGTGTTGTGTAGGTGGCTTTCAGGTTGATCAAAGAACAATATACTCTTGAAGATTGTGCTTAATCAAATCCATTTGAAATCTTGGGCTTATTCATTATTGTGAACATTAAGATAAATTATTTAGTTGACCTTTTCAGGTTCTTTTTAGACAATGTCATTAATTGTCCTAACTACATGGGTTTTTCTAACCCTCTTTAAAAACCGTATATTGATTCTAATTACCATTCCTTATGCTACTTGTATCTAATGTCTCAGTAAAGAAAATTGTATATTTTCTCTATTTATTCCTTTACCTAAAGCAAGATTTTTTGAGTGACTCATCTTCCCTTTAATCAGCTGTCACCTTTTGCATAATGCCAGTAGGAGACATAAACTGTCAATAATCACACGGTGGGAGGTAGTAGAATCAATTTAATTCCAGACTAAGGAATACTCGGTTGCTACTAATGTACGTGCAAGATGATGTTTTAGCAAAAATTATTTTTTTCCTATATCCTCAGTGTTTCTTCAGTGTATTCCTTTTTCTCTACTTTCATTGCCACTGTCTTCAAGAGAACTTTATTTCCTTCAAGGGAGTCCATGTTATTACTTAACATGGTCCTTATATGGGTTTGTATTCAGTCAGAATTATAGCATGACCAAGCTAGAGGTTCAGTCTTGAGCCTTTTCTGCATGACAGCAGGAAATGGCAGTATGCCTATAATAATGTGCATGTGTTCCTTCCTCCTGTACCATTTACAGTTATTTAAATGCCAGCTGCTCTGACACATGCACCATACTTTGTGCTGAAGATAAAGAGAAGATAAAGGCTCACTCTTGCCATCACAGACAATGTGGAAGGTAATATAAATAGAAATTCATTAAAGCATAACCAGTACTAAAATCATTTACATGTGTCCTTTTGTGATTACACAGGTCAAGCGGGGACTAACTTATCTTGTCTGTCTGTTTATGGGGAGTGTCGTATATGTAAGAGAGTTTGGGAGGCTATTACGCCAAATTTTCAGATCCTTCCTGATCATTAAAGGATGTAGTCATTAACTAGGTGGAAAAGGGCAAGAGAGGGAGGAAAATTAATTCTGAAACATTTTACGTATGTGATATTATTTAATTTTCACATAGACTCTATTAATTAAACATCAATTATTACAACTCTAAACAGAAAAAACAAGCCCCAGAGAAGCTAAATACTATAATTTGCCCAAAGCCATCACTTTGTAAGTGGTCAAGCAATGATGTAGTTCTATATCATTGGTTTGATTCTCAAGCCACTGTTTTTGCTGTCCCAGTGGTTCCTAGGTTTTTGGATTTCCTGAACAGTAAAATTTCTAAAAGTGGAAATTTATTATAGGCTTTCTAGCATCGTACTTTAGAAAATAATCATGTTAAAAATAACCGTTATCTATTAGAAATCCCATTTAACAAAATGGTTTTCTTTTAAATTAGCACAGACCTGTATAGAACAAGAACACAATCCTTTCCAGAAAGGATAGTTGGCAACCTTTCTCTCATACACATTTAAACACTACATTATTCTAAAATTCATTTTCTTCAGACCTGAGAGAGCTATTTTGTGGATCAGCATTTGGGAATCACTGCAGTAGACTAGTGATACATACAAACTCAGAATACTTATTTTGTTAGGAGACAGCCACCACTTAGAGGTTGTCAATGTGCTAGCCCAAATGGCTGACTCCCCAGGGACCCTGTGTTCCGATGTCCTGGGGACTCGATGTTATTTACAGATAAGCCAACTCTGTCTCTCTAACAAGTGTTTATTGTGTGCATAGCAGGGGAGTGGCAATCTTGAAGGCGGGAGTAAGCAGCCAGCCCTCTTTTTCTCCTCCTTAAGAATTGATGGTCAGAGTAAAAGGGAACAGAACTCCTACAATTAGGATTAGAAATGCCAGCTTTCCCCTATGGTTTATTGGGAGGAAGAAATACAACTTGCCATGTGCCCCATGGAGCCTCTCAATATGAAGTCCTAATTCAAGTACTTACTGCCTGCTGCTCTCTGAATTTCCATTTAAAAATAATTATCAAAACCATATGGGTTAAAAGGGGCTGGGGCGGGGGTGGAGTCTCAAAATGGAAATATGTAAATTGCAATCACTTTGGCCTTTTGCATTTGACTGACTATCCCCCAAGCACAGAGCTTCCCTCTGTGCCTTTTTCAGCAAGGTTTCCCATGCTGCTGCCCCAACAGGACCCAGGCCACCTTTCCTCTGCTACCCCACTTGCTATCCATCACTACAGCTCAGAGCAGTAGAATAGAGTGGACTTAGTTATCTTGGTCCTAGTGGCTCTCTGCTCATTTTCCAACATCATTTTAAGTTTTTCTCCTCCATGAGATTTCTTTCCTACCTGCTTTCTCCACCTCCAGCTAAAATTACTATTGACTCCTGTGTGTCTCCAATGTGTCCTATGTTAACTTCAGTCAGAAAAATCTCTATTACTTCATAAGTCCACCTGACTGGCTGTTCCACTAGACTCATTATGCCATAAAAGTTAAATTTGCATGATAAAAAAACAAAAATAAACAAAAACATCCTGAATGGAAAGGCAATTGTATTGAGTGCTAACGACATCTTGTTCCATAATGATACTAACATCTTCATCTTTGGGCACTGTGAAGGCATAGCTTTTAGTGTGACAAGTACTACTTTTAGAGAATTTAAAGTAACACCAGCACTCTTTTATATGTAGTGATGGTACTGTGAAAGATTGGTATTTCTGAAAGATTGGTTTTCACATGAAATTCTATCACAACTTAGCTCATGGAGAATTATTTGTATACATAGTCATAGACATAGATTATGCCCAACCCTGAGCTGTCCAATGTAGCCACTGGTGATATGTCACCACATAATATGTGGCTAGTCTGAATTAAGTTGTGTTGTAAGGGTAATATTTCATTAATATTTTTATATTGATTTTATGTTAAATGATAATTTTAGGGCATATTGGGATACATACAAATTAATTTCACTGGTTTATTTTTACTTTTATTAATGCGTCTACTATAAAATTTTAAATTACATGCACTGCTCACATTTAAGACTCATGTATTTCTTTTGGACAGTGCTGCTCTAGACAGACTATGTAAGTGGGCCAAGTTACATGGTTACATAGCAAGTTGCCCTTGAACCTTGGGTACCAAGCACAGAGGGTGGCGTACTTCAATTTCATTAATGCATGTTTATTTAGAATCTGCCATGCACCAAACACTGTGCAGAGTGCTGGAAATGTTCCTGCATGCACAATGTAAAACCTAGTAAGAAAAACATATTAAACAAAGAATAATTTGAGTACCTAATATGACCAATGTGGTGCTGGCACAGTGAGGTATAGAGAAGTATCTAAGCCAAAGCATGCAGCTTCAAAGATTTTTCAAAATAGCCAAATATATTTTCTAATACAAAGTGAAAATGTTTATTCCACAGTGTATTTGTTTTCACTCTTGCTATTTTTCTTTCTAAATATTTAAAAGTTTGTACTTAACTACAACTCTTCCAGAAAGAATACATTCTAAATACTTTGGAAATCTTAGAGCTTCACTTTAATTACTATGGGACCTTGGAATCCCAGCATGTTGCATTGCCAAGATCAGTTAGGCTGGGTAGGCAGAATCCTGGACTCTAGGCTTGACTTTTCATGAGCCAGCTGTGCCATCTTGGACAAGTGCTTTCTTTCTTTCAGCCTAATAACCTGGTCTGTAGCATAAGAAGCCTGGGTGACTTCTGCAGCAGTTAGAATGTTTATTGTTGCCAGTGAAAGAGTCAAATTTGATTAGTTAGAATGTTTATTGTTGTAAGTTGAAGAGTCAAATTTGATTAAATAGTGGAGGTTATTTATGGGCTCAAGTATCCGGAAAGTCCAGAATCCCTCCACTGCCAAAGTCATCAACTTAATCCAGTAGATTAACCAAGGATTCCATCTCTGTATCTGCCTACTTCCTTCATTTACAGGCTAGGCAACCCTCACCTGGCTGCCAGCAGCATTCCTTGTGCACAACCAGTTTAAGAGAGTGACATTGCTTCAGCGTTCTCACTGCAAGTTCTTAGATTCTCCATGATTGGAGCAGCTTAGATGGCAGGCCTATCCCTAAACCAAACCCTGTGAGTAATGTGATACCCCGATTGGCTTAGTTTAGTTCATGTGTTTCACCTAGGGAACCAGAGATAAATTCAGTTTCTCTGAACTCACACTGATCCCTAAACAGAAACTGTAGCCGTTAAGAAAGGGAAAGAGCGAAGTGGTTGATGTGAAGGCAACCCACAAATGATCTTGATCAAATTATTTAAACTCTATTTCACTGCATTATCTCATATGCAAAATAACAAAGATAATGTAATACTCAATGCACAGGGTTATGGTGAGACAGAAACAAAAAGCAAATGTGAAAGTTCCTGGCACAGTGTGTGATTTACAGCAGGCATTTATATAAACGTTTCAGGCACTCATTTATTCTCTGTGTCTGTGAGCCTATAAGTTCCTCATTTCACCATTCCTCACTATATTTGTCTCTAAAATATAAATATGAAAGCTTCTCTTTTGGATGATTCTGAGAACTCTAATGAGAATTCATGGGTAACAAATGTAAATTGTGTGAAACTTTTTATATATCAACACAATTCCACTTATTTCTCTCAGAAGCTAAACTGCTTTGGTCTGGATATTTGTTTTAGTGTGACTTACTGTCTAAAGATATATTAGTTTCCCTACATTGACTAATTGCCATTTCTAGCGATGCATCCTGAGAAAAATGTTTTCACAATATTCAGCAAACATGCACTGATTTCTCCTTCTGAACTTCCTTGTAAACAACTTATCAAGACTTCCAAATTCAGACTGTCATTAATAGAGTAAAAACAGTGTAGTAATTTTTTAAACTGCTGATCTAGAGTAAACACCAAACATAAACACACGTGCCTTTCTCTGTGTCTGCAAACGTACAGTATATACCCAAACGTGTAATCCAAATTATAATTATTACCAAAATAACCAGAAAATACATATTAGTTTTCCCCGAATTCTGTGAATGAGCTTCAGCTACACATATTGTTGCCCATGATGATTCTATTTCAAAATGACTTTGAATTCATCTCCATTGAGATGACCCAATGTCTCCTTAATACAATATGTGCAAAAGGAAACTCAATGTTTCCCCACCCTTACCTTATTTTTCTTTTACATTGCTTATTTTGATTAATGAAACCACCAGCTTCCCAGGTCTTGAGGCCTCAGAGTTATCATTGACACTTTTTTTCTTGTAATCCATATCTTATACTAGCACCTTCACCACTATAATGCAGATCACAAATCTATTTTCAGTTTCTCATCGCAGCTGCTACTTTCCTGGCATGTTGTAAAATGAATCGATAGGTCAAGGTGTATCAGAATGCCTCAAAGTCTAGTGGCTGTTTGCCAATGTATCTCCACAGCTGAATTCTGAAGACTGCCAGATTCAGCTTTATATCCCAGCATCTAGCACAGGTTCTAACACATAGTACATGCTCATTAAATATTGGTTGATGAGACAAAATTGAAAAGAGGTCTGATTTATCCAAGTGCGCCTGCTCTTTCTCCATTTGAAACCACACTGGATTTTGCTGACAGATTAATTTTCTCAAAGCACAATTCTGTTCATGTTACTCCTTTAATAAACACATTAACAGCTACCATTTGTTTAGAGCCTACCGTGTTTCAAGGTTATTCTCAATAATCCCACAACAAACTGTCATTTCCATTTTCACTGATGAGGAAATTGAGGTGCAGTGAGGTGAGGACACAGGTTAAGCTCACAGTTCTCTAGGTGTGGGACTGTGTATTCCGATCTGTCTGACACCAGAGCCTGCGGTTTTCACTGTGCTACTTGCCTTTCTCTACTGAAACACTTCTATAATGCCTCTCTAAAATGACATGTTCTTTTAGGGCAGGAACTGATTATGAAAGAGCTAAGTTGTGAGCAGCTAGTGAGGTTTTGTTATTCAGAATTAGGTGGGTAGAGGAGAAGTAGGTAGACAGCCTCTCAGAGCTTGTTAGTGATGCAGAATCTCAGGCTACAACCCAGACCTACTGAACAAGAGTCTGCATGGTGGCAAGATCCCCAGGTGATTTGTAAATACACTGAAGGTTCAGGCTCACATGTCAAGAAAACACTGATCATTGGGCACTAGCACTGATTTATCCAGAACAAGTCATGTTAACTTAGCTCCTTTTTTTCATAGAATTGTCAAAGACATTGTTCAAGGAGACAACAGGGATTTTAGCCATGAATTGCATGAATGTCTAGTAGCACATGCTAATAATTAAAGCCTTTTTTATAATAATCATTACTGTCTATAATCACATATTTCGAGTGCGTTTACTAACTAGACTGGAAGTTTGAATGAGCGGGCAACCTGTGTGCTGTGTTCATTATTTTTTCACCAGCGCAATGCACAGTAGCCAGGACATGGTAGGAATTCAATATAGATGTTCTGAATAAATTAACCAATTATAGGTGGTGATCTTGGGAACAAAATTTGCTCAAAATATGGGTATGCTGATAAAAATATTTTAACTAATGAATGGGTACTCAAACCTGAGAAGAATTTTTAGTGTTCGGTGAGAGGGCTCTCCTCCACCCCATATTTATTTAATCACTTCATCAAGCACATTGTAATCATATTTCTTAAGTTCTTGGATTATACCAACATGGGGAAAAAGTTTAACATGTTGGAGGGCAGAATAAAAACCCAATAAGGTATTTTAAAGATTGGAAAGACGGCCTGAATCACTGAAATAGAGGACTTGTGGCTTATGAAAATGAGTGAAAAGGTAGCTCTGTGTGAATATTATTCAAAAGTGTGATGTTACTACCCATAAAGATTATATAAGAAAAGGATGAAATAATAAATGTAGAGCATGCAAAGTGAAGCAGATTGCAGTTGCCTTATTTCAAGGCTCAGAGAAACTCCTCTGAAAAGGGCCAACTAGTAAATACTCTCAGCTCTGTGGGCACTAATGTCTTCTCTGTCGAAACTACTCATGTCTGTGGTTGTAGTGGGAAAATGGCCATAGGTAATATATAAACAAATGAGTATGGCTGTGTTTCAATCAATTTTGCTTATAGATATTGAAATTTTAATTTTGCATAAGTTTTATGTATCATGGAATATTATTCTTTTCTTCATTTTCTATTCAACTATTTTAAAAATCTAAAAATCTTGTTTAGCTTATGATTCATACAAAAACAGGTGGCAGATCAAAGTTAGCACACAGGTCAAAGTTTGAAAACCCTGCTCTATTCTGTTGTAGTCTGATTCCACCTAGCATTTAGTTCTGACACCTAACATTTAGATAGAGGTGGATACATTGTTAGGTCTTCAAATGGAGAGAATACCATGTGGATAAGACCAGAAGGCGTGTTACATGAAGAAAAGTAAAAAGAATATGGGATGTCTAGTTTGGAAGATAAAGGAATTTGAACCACATGGTTGTCACCTTTAAATATTTGAAAGTAATTAAAGAAACTATGAAATAAAGAAGCAGTGTATCACTGTGTCTTCTGGCATGAAATTTGGATTCAGAAAGACCTGGATTCAAATTCTATCTCTGCCATAGAATGTGTATGCTCTTTTGGACAATATACTAAATATTTGCCTGCCTCATTCTCCTCATTTATAAAATAAAATTATAACACCTACTCTTTGAATTAGCCTTTGTTATATAAAAAACACTCCAAAACTTCGTGGCTTAAAACAATAATATATTATTTCTCTAAGTTCTGTGGATGAGCAGGCCAGATTTTCTGGTGCCTTTGCCTGGTCTAACTCATGGTGTGGCATTTGGCTGGAGTGTTAGCTGGGCTGGAACATCCAAGCTGCATTGATCCATATGTCTGATAATTGGTGCTGGCTATAAGGTGAGGTGCCCTACATTTTTTCCACTTCACCTCTTATCTCTCAGTAAGCCTAGGTTGACTTCCTTATTTGGTGGCCTCAGGGCAGCATTCCAAGAAAGCAGAGAAAGATCTTTTAGGGACCTTAGAAGCCTAAGGATATAGACCACGCTCATTGTTACTTCTGCCATAGTCTGTTTCTCAAGATATGAGATTAGTCCCAATTTAAGTACATAGGAGAAGAAGTTCCCATATCTGAATAGGAGGAACAGAAAGGCAAAAAGCAAAGGGGTACGGCCAGAGGGATTAGTCATTAAATATTGTCATGAAACAATATATACCTACATACTGCACTGTTGTGAGGGTTGAAAAGGATAATGTGTAAAGCACTTAACATAGTCCCCCAACCACAGTAATCCTTTGATAAATGGTGGCTATATAGATTTTTGGATCAGATAGATTTTTGGATAAAGCAAGGAATAAAGAATAGAGTTAGAGATGGCCCCCTTTGGAATGAGCTGCCTAAGGATATAGTACCTTTGCCATCACGGCAGGTATTGAGACTGGCTGGATTTAAGATGAGAACTCAGAACTGGATATGCAGCTACATAAGGGAATATTCAAGATTAAGTATTCAAAATTAATTTTTTAAATTTTTTATTAAATGTGACAAATTATATATATTTATGGGATACAAAGTGATACTATCATATATGTATACATTGTGCAATAATTAAATGAAGCCAATATATATATCACCTCAAATACTTATCATGTGTTCCCCCTGTCTACCTGAAACTTTGTTCATTGATAACATTTTTTCATTTCTTCTGGCCCCCATCCCTTGGTAACCACCATCCAGCTCTCTGCTTCTATGAGTTCAGCCTTTTTAGATTCCACATATAAGTGAGATCGTGTTGTAATTGTAGTTCCATGGCTGGCTTATTTTACTTAACATAATGTTCTCCAGTTTAATCCATATTATCACAAATGGCAGGGCTTTTTGAAGACTGAATAATATTTCATTATGTATATGCCATGTTTTCTTTATCCATTCATCCATTGATGACCATTAGATTGATTCTGTATCTTGGCTATTGTGAATAATGCTGAAATAATCATGAGACTACAGATATATCTTTGACATACTGATTTCAGATGCTGCGTTAGTCCATTTCCATGCTGCTGATAAAGACATACATGAGACTGGGCAATTTACAAAGGAGAGAGGTCTAATGGAGATCCCACAGTTACACGTGGCTAGGAAACCCTCACAATAATGGCAGAAGGCAAGGGGCAAGGAGGAGCAAGTCACATCTTATGTGGTGGAGGCAGGCAAAGAGAGAGCTTGTGCAGAGAAACTCCCGTTTTCAAAGCCATCAGATCTCGTGAGACCCACTCACCAACAGGAGAACAGCATGGAAAAGACCCACCCCATGATTCAATCATCTAGCACCCGGTCCCTCCCACAACACATGGGAACCATGGAGCCACAAGATGAGGTTTGGGTGGGGACACAAAACCAAACCACATCATTCCACCCCGGCCCCTCCCAAATCTCATATCTTCACATTTCAAAAGCAATCATGCATTTCCAACAGCTCCCTAATGTCTCAACTCATTTTAGCATTAACTTAAAAGTCCACAGTCCAAACTTTCATCTGAGACAAGGCAGGTCCCTTCCACCTATGAGCCTGTAATATCAAAATCAAGTTAGTTACTTCCTAGATACAGTGGTCGTACAGGCATTGGGTAAATACAGCCATTCCAAATGGGAGAAATTGGCCAAAACAAATGGGCTGCAGGACCCATGCAAGTCCGAAATCCAGCAGGCCAGTCAAATATTAAAGCTCCAAAATTATCTCCTTTGACTTCATGCCTCAAATTCAGGTTACACTGATGCAAGAGGTAGGTTTCTGTCATCTTGGGCAGCTCCATCCCTGTGGCTTTGCAGGGTACAGCCTCCCTCCCAGCTGCCTTCCCAGGCTGTTATTGAGCATCTACGGCTTTTCCAGGTACACAGTGCAAGCCATCGGTGGATCTACCATTCTAGGGTCTGGAGGATGGTGGCATTCTTTTCACAGCTCCACTAAGCAGTGCCCCAGTAGGGACTCTGTGTGGGGGCTCTGACCCTGCATTTCCCTTCTGCACTTCCCTAGCAGAGGTTCTCCATGAGGGTCCCACCACTGCAGCAAACTTTTCCTGGGCATCTAGGCATTTCCATACATCTTCTGAAGTCTAGGTGGAGGTACCCAAACCTCAATTCTTGACTTCTGTACACTCACAGGCTCAACACCATGTGGATGCTGCCAAGGTTTGAGGCTTGCACCCTCCAAAGCCATGGCTTGCACTCTGCATTGGCCCCTTTCAGCCATGGCTGGAGTGACTGGGATGCAGGGCACCAAATCCCTAGGCTGAACACACCATGGTGATCCTGGGCCTGGCCCACGAAACCACTTTTTCCTACTAGGCCTCCAGACCTGTAATGGGAGGGGCTGTCACAAAGAACTCTGACATGCCTTGGAGAGATTTTCCCCGTTGTCTTGGGGATTAACATTAGGCTCCTCATTACTTATGCAAATTTCTGCAGCTGGCTTGAATTTCTCCTCAGAAAATGGGATTTTCTTTTGTATGGCGTTGTTAGGCTGCAAATTTTCCAAAATTTTATGCTCTGTTTCCTGTTTAAAACAGAATGCCTTTAACAGTACCCAAGTCACCTCTTGAATGCTTTGATGCTTAGAAATTTCTTCCACCAGAAACCCTAAATCATCTCTCTCAAGTTCAAAGTACCAAATCTCAAGGGCAGGGGCAAAATGTGGCCAATGTCTTTGCTAAAACATAACAAGTCACCTTTGTTCCATTTGCCAGCAAGTTCCTCATCTCCATCTGAGACCATCTCAGCCTGAACCTTATTGTTCATATCACTATCAGCATTTTTGTCAAAGTCATTCAGTAAGACTCTGGGAAGTTCCATACTTTCCCCCATTTTCCTGTCTTCTTCTGAGCCCTCCATACTGTTCCAACCTCTGCCTGTTATCAAGTTCCAAAGTCACTGCTACATTTTCAGATATCTTTTCAGCAATGCCCCACTCCCAGTACCAATTCACTGTATTAGTCTGTTTTCACACTGCTGATAAAGATATACCTGAGACTGGGCAATTTACAAAGGAAAGAGGTTTAATGGAGAATTTACAGTTCCTTGTGTGTGGGGAGACCTCATAATCATGGCAGAAGGCAAGGAGAAGCAAGTCAAATCTTACGTGGATGGCAGCAGGCAGAGAGGGAGCTTATGCAGAGAAACTCCTGTTTCAAAACCATCAGATCTCATGAGACCCACTCACCATCAGGAGAACGATGGGGGAAAGACCCTCCGCTATGATTCAGTCATCTCCCACTTGGTCCCTACCACAACATATGAGAGCCACAAGATGAGATTTGGTTGGGGACACAGAGCCAAACCATCAGATGCTTTGGATATACAGCCAGTAGTAGAATTTCTGGATCCAGTGGTAGTTCTATTTTTAGTTTTTTGAGGAACCTATATACAGTTTTCCATAAGGGCTGTATTTATTTATATTCCCACTAACAGTGTGCAAAGATTCCTTTTTCTCCATATACTCTCCAACATCTATGTTTTATCTTTTTGATAATAGCCATTTTGAGAGGTGTGAGGCAGTATCTCATTTAATTTGCATTTCTCTAATGATTCGTGATGTTGAACATTTTGTCGTATATCTTTTGGTCAATTACACATTTGTCCATTTGAGTATTTTCCCCATTAAAAAATTCTGTTATTTGTTTTTATTCTATTAAGTTGTATTAGTTTCTTATATATTTTGGATATTAACATCTTATCAAATGTATGGCTTGCAAATATTTTCTCTCCATCTGTATGTTGACTCTGTTAATTGTTTTCTTTGTTGTGCAGAAACTTCAGTTTTATGTAATACTATTTGTCTATTTTTATTTTTGTTGCCTGAGCTTTTGGAGTCAAATCCAAAAAATTATTGCCCAGACCAGTGTTGTGGAGCTTTTCCTTCAAAATTCTTAATTGGAGTTTTTTCTTGTTTGTTGTATGAAGATCAATATCAATGGGGCACAATTTAAGGCAAACTGTGTGAAGAAATATGTATGGATTTTATTGCCAGTCTTAAAAATGAAGTTTATAGGAGGATCATGCAGAACCATTGTGAACTTTTCCTAGAGATGGCAGTGAGCCATTCAGCCATTCAGTGTTGTATTAAGTGCTTTTGGTTTGTATTAGTCGTTTTGCCTTTTAAATTTCAAGAAGAAATAAGAAAGGATCAAGAAACCAAGAATAGAAATATTTTGAAAAATACCTGGTACACATAAGAAAAACAACTTTATCTAAGATATGAGAGTATAAGAGAGAGAAAAAATTTTTTTCTCATTCTCCTTGTTAGAGTTGTTTCCTCATTGCTGAGATGAGGAAAGGAAGAGTTCCCTGACGAGCAAGGTGATTACAAAGGAACATCTGAATCTTTCAGTCCCATAATGAATATGGAAGAATAGAGAAAACAAGGCCAAACAGATATCTTATTCACATAGCTGTACCTACTTTGAAAGGTAGATTTCTTAATATTTTTTTCAGTTTTTTGCATGTGTTTTTGGAGGCCAGAGTTCACACAGGAAAACATTACCTACTAAATAATAAACAAAAGGCAACTTCAGTCTTATACTAAATAAGTAAATAAAAATGAATGAAGAAGCAAACAAATGACTGTTCTAGGTGTCATCAGTTTTGTACAATGTAATGGAAATTTTCATTTGTTCCTTAAAATCCATTCTCTCAGTCTTTCTTTTTGCCCAAGGAAATTGTCTGTACAGTCTGTAACAACAGGCTCTCTTTTCTCTGTCTTCTGATTGGGTTTAGTAAATGAAGATCACAGTTAGCAAACTGACGGGAGGGAAGACAATGATCTCCCGTCCACTCTCACTGATATTACTATCTCTTGTGATTTCTCTATACTCGTCTCACTACTGTGTAAATCCTTTCTTATTAAAATATCTTCAAATTTACCCAGTTTTAATATGTCATCTCTTTTCTGCTGATGTACATAGAGTTCCTAAAATATCTTCTAGTCCATCCAAAAACTAAAAGTAATTTGTGACAGCAGACAGAAACTATAAAGGAATCAATCACTATAGCAAACATCAAACCCATAAAACATTTTATTCAAATATTTTCGATCATTTATCAAAAAGTATTTTTAAGTGTCTCCTATTTGCTCAATAGGCTAAGCTAAATAGGGTCTGTGAAAGCAGTTCATAGTCCAAATGTGTAGGTGGTCGTCAACCAATTAACCACACAAAGAAATGTATACAATTTATCAATATACTCTGGTAAATGTCACGCAGAGAAGATGTGCCATAGCAATCTAGGGGTGAGGGAAGGTAAGCCTGCACAGATTGTATTTTAGAGGAGATTTGATGGATTGTAGTCATTAACTACATGTGGAGGACTAGAAAGGAAATTCCAGGCAGGAAAAATATATGATTTTAGAGGTGAAGAGGTCACAGTCTGAGGATTGAAAGAAGGTTAGTATGGTCAGAGTTCAGAGAGCAAGTGAGATCATAGTGTTGAACAAGGCTAATGGAGTCAGGGCCAGATCATGGAGGACCTTGTTAATCATATTGAGGATTTTGGTTTGTATCCAAACAACAGCAGAGAGTCTTATGTCTAAGTAAAAGAATGATATGGTTTTTATCTTTAAAAGGTTGTTCTGGCTAAAATGTGGAAACAGACTGAAAGATGGCAAAGCGAACAGGAGCATTAATTAGGAATCTAGCCCAGAGGCCCAAATGAGAAAGGATAACAGCTTGAACTAGAGAAATAGTAGAAAAGGTAGAAGAAAGATGACAGATTTGAGAGGTATTTAGAGGTAAAGATGATAAGTATTGGTAATTGTCTTAGTCCATTGGGCTGCTATAACAAAATACCATAGACTGGATGGTGGATAAACAGCAAAAAACTATTTCTGACAGGTCTGGAGGCTAAGAAGTTCAAAATTAGGGAGATGACAGCTTCAGTGTCTGGTGAGGGTGTGCTTCCTGGTTTGTAGACAGAAACTTGCAGTTATGTGCTCACATGGTGGAAAGGGCAAGGCAGCTCTTTGGGGCTTCTTTTACAAGGGTACCTAATAATCACCCAAAAGGCCTCACCTCCTAATTCTATCACCTTGGGTGTTAGGACTTCAACATATGAACTTTGGGGTGTATAATCATTTAGATCATAGCAATGATTGATTAGATTTAGAGAGGTGAAAGACAGAAAGATGCCATGAAATGTCCTTAAGTGTGTGATTGGCTGAGCTAGAAGAGATGGTTGTGCCAAGTTATAGAAACTAGACGGAGGCCTAGAGCTCTTAGGAGAATTCTGTATTGGATATGCAAACTCATCTGTATGAAGGAATCTATCAGGTCCAGGTATATAATTTTGATGCTATAGGAAAAATAGAGTTAGAAGAGGACAGAACCCTGTGGTGTCGCAATGTATGGTGGCAGAGGAAATGAATATGAGCATGCAAATAAGACTGAAAAGGAGAATCCAGAGAGGTAGGAGAGAAACCAACAGTAACATCATGGAAGCTAAGAAAAGAGAGTGTCAACAATAATTAATATGCAAGGAAGCAAGTAAAATGGAGCAACAACAAACATTTTATTCTACTTACCAATATTAGGTAGTTGATAAGAGTATTAGTTCATTCTCATGCTGCTAATAAACACATACCCGAGACTGGGTAATTTATAAAGGAAAGAGATTTAATTGATTCACAGTTCCACAGGCCTGGGGAAGTCTCAGGAAACTTACAATCATGTCAGAAGGGGAAGCAAACACGTCATTCTTCACATGGCAGCAGCAAGAAGTGCAGAGTGAAGGAGGGGAAAGCCTCTTACAAAATCATCCCATCACATGAGAACTAACTCACTATCAGGAGAACAGCACAGAGGTAACTGACCCCATGATTCAATTACCTCCCACAGTGTCCCTCCCATGACAATGTGGGGATTATGGAAACTAGGATTCAAGATGAAATTTGGGTAGGGGCAAAACCAAACCATATCAATAAGGGAGCTGAAATCAGTTTGAAATTAATGAAAGGTGGAAAAGTAGATCATATACATATATAGAACATTCGTTCAATGGCTTTAGATATTGAAGAGAGAGATGAGGTTTGCATGATAAGTAATGTGTCATTGAAGGACGATTTTTTTTTAATTTAAATTTCTTTTCCAACTTTTAAGTTCAGGGGAGTATGTGTACAGATTTGTTCCATGGGTGGATTGTGTTACACCAAGGTAATGAACATAGTACCCGATAGGTAGTTTTTCAATCCTCACCCTGCTCTC
Source organism: Homo sapiens (assembly GCF_000001405.40). Taxonomy (NCBI): domain Eukaryota; kingdom Metazoa; phylum Chordata; class Mammalia; order Primates; family Hominidae; genus Homo; species Homo sapiens. The sequence continues at coordinate 80,769,268 of NC_000011.10, read as the reverse complement.
ACCTTCTACCCTCAAGTGGGCCTGGTGTCTATTGTTCCCTTCTTTGTGTCTATGTGTACTCAGTGTTTAGCTCCCACTCGTAAGTGACATTATGTGGTATTTGGTTTTCTGTTCCTGTGTTAATTCTCTTGGGATAATGGCCTCTAGCTCCAGCCATGTTGCTGCAAGGAACATAATATTTTTTAATGGCGCACAGTATTCCACAGTGTATTTGTACCATGTATTCTTTATCCAGTCCACCACTGATGGGCACTTAGGTTGATTCCACATCTTTGCTATTGTGAATAGTGCTGTGATGAACATATGTGTGCATGTGTCTTTATGGTAGAGCAATGTATATTCCTTTGGGTATATACCCAGTAATGGAATTGCTGGGTTGAATGGTAGTTCATTTTAAGTACTTTAAGAAATCTCCAAACTGCTTTTCACAGTGACTGAGTTAATTTACATTCCCACCCACAGTGTATAAGTGTTTCCTTTTCTTTACAACCTCACCAGCATCTGTTATTTTTTGGCTTTGTAATAATACCCGTTCTGACTGGTGTGAGAATTAGATGGTATCTCATTGTGATTTTGATTTGCATTTCTCTAATTACTAGCAATGTTGAGCATTTCTTCATATGCTTGTTCACCACATGGATGTCTTCTTTTGAGAAGTGTCTATTCATCTCCTTTGACCATTTTCTAACAGGGTTGTTTGTTTCTGTTTGGTAACTTAAGTTCCTTATAGATTCCAAAAGAATCAATATTGTTAAAATGGTCATACTGCCTGAAGCAATTTACAGATTCAGTGCTATTTCTATTGAGGTACCAATGACATTTTATAAAGAATTAGGAAACACCATTCTAAAATTCATATGGAACCAAACAAGAGCCTGAATAGCCAAAGAAATTCTAAGCAAAAAGAACAAAGCTATAGGCATCACACTACCCAATTTCAAACTATACTGCAAGGCTATCATAAGCAAAACATCATGGTACTGGTACAAAAACAGACACATAGACCAATGGAACAAGTTAGAGAACCCAGAAACAAAGTTGCACACCTACAACCATTTGGTCTTTGACAAACTCAGCAAGAGCAAGCAACAGAGAAAGTACTTCCTATTCAATAAAAGGTGCTGGGATAACCTGCTAGCTCTATATAGAAGACTGAAACCAGACCCCTTATTTGCCATATAAAAAATCAACGAAGGAGGGTTAAATACTTACATGAAAAATCTAAAACTATAAAAACCCTAGAATAAAACCTAGAAAATACCATTCTGGATATCAGCCCTGGCAAAGATTTTATAACAAAGACTCCAAAAGCAATTGCCACAAAAACAAAAATTGACTAACAGGACCTAATTAAACTAAAGAGCTTCTGCACAGCAAAATAAATTATCGACAAAGTAAACAGACCACATATACAGTGAGAGAAAATATTTGCAAACTGTGCATCCAACAAAAATATAATGTACAGAATCTATGAGATTTATTTTTTTAAGTGGAAAAATGAGCATCTTTAAATTGTGATGAGAAGAATAAAGGGAGAAACGTAAGGGTTGAATATAAAAAAATATATAAAATTCAGGGAAGGCAAATGTGACAAGATCTAAAATCTAAAATGTAAGTAGAAGAAATAGCTTCCTTAAAATATAAATGGAAGGATAATATTTTATATCATCTGATATATAACGAGAATGAGGAATTCACTTATATAATTTCAGAACAGAAGATATACATAAAAGATAGTTACAACATAAAAACAATTAGAGATCATGTAAATAAAAAAATCACAGCTGCAGTGAAACAGAAAACTGAAAAGTAGACTTGATCCAGTTAAATAGTAAACTAATGCTCTGAAAGATTGAGTTAACAATTCTCCCAGATAGCAGTGCAAAGAGAAAAATGGAAATTATGGAAGAAAAGTTAAACGCTAAGGAGGACAGATCCAGAATTTCTATATCCATCTATTTTAAGTTCCGCTAAGAAGGGGACAAAAAAAAAATGAAGGAGAATCAATATTTAAAGAAATAATGGCTGAGAATGTTCCAGAACATTAAAAGACATGAGCCTACAGACTTAAACACTCCAACAGTTCAAATAGTGCTGAACAAGTCCATATGCATGTGCACATGCACATAGACGACTGTGCATACATGCACATAGATGACTGTGAATGTTCACAATTCAGGGCATTTAGGAAACTAAACATGTACAGAAGGAGAAGACAGACTTAACAACAAATAAATACAAATTGTAGGCATTTGTCATTGATCTGGGTCCTAAGAGCAGAGTAAAATAAGGTACCTATCCTCTTGGCCTTTACTAGATACTAAGAGGTACTGACAAATTCATAAAAAAGCAGCATGTTAAACTGTGATGAGGGGAGAAAGATGCAAACCCAGGATATAGAAGTGCAATTTATTCAGTGCTTTAAATTTTAGAAAGTTGATTTTATTCACACATTAACAAATAGTTATGAAAACCTTTTTATCTGCAAAGAACTGCTCTTGATCCTCAGGTAAATGACAAAAGTAAAGAATGATATTTTCTGCGCTCATGGAAATAATATCTAGCATGGGTTCATTGTACACAACTTAGCCTGCTATAGGATATCTTCAAAAAACATGGTTAATGACTACTTTATAGAAAACAAAGCCACCTTTTAGTATTTACAACCAGGTAAAGGAGAAAGTAGCTCAGCTTTTGTCACTACTATCTCTAAATGCTCGCACACTGAGTTTGGACCACGCAGCCTGGCATTCTGAACATCTGTGTTTCACTTACCTGCTTTCTTATGTTAAGGGCACTTTTTCCGATGTGCTGAGGCCATCTCAGAGTATTGTGTGTTTATTTACATGGGTCTAGCACAGGGCAGTATTCAAACAACTGCAATCACATGACTAAAAACACAGATGCATTGAACAGTTCATTTAAGTTGTTTCTTTCAAATAACTGACATTTAAAACTTTTACCTAATAGACAACAAAAAGCATATTTCCCCTTATATGAATCTTCAATAAACATTACAAGTACCATTTATGGAGCACCCATAGCATACAGAGAATCTTGTTTACATATTATATGCATTATATTATTTAATTATCATAACTCCCGACATTGTTTATTTATTTGAGAAATAAAAATAATGTATTTAAGTTACACTACCCATTTTTGGCAGAACTAGAACCCAAGCCAACTTCCTCATGAAGATTCCCTTTGCTTTTTTTTTTAATACATTGCCTGTGCTCCCAACTTTGTACTTTTCAAAGTGCTTTTACAATAATTGGTTCTTATAATTTGCATGAAAATATTTTATGGTTGATATTGTTCATGTCATTTTGCCAAGACAAAAACTAATAATACATTTGGGAAGTAACATTTATTTAATACCAGTTGTTCAACATTTTGCTTTCGTTTTGTTGTTGTTATATTTTTGTTTCAAGGTCATTTACTATATTCTCACACTCCTCACTTTCTTAGGTATTATGGATACAAAAATTAGACCATGTTCCCTTTCCCAATTATTCAAATAAATATTATGTTAAGTACATACATTTTAAACATTCTTATTTCTATTTGTTTCAGAAAATATTTAAGCTCTATCTATCTATCTATCTATCTATCTATCTATGTATCTGCTATATCTCTGGAGTCATCCAAAAATGTATAATTCTTTCAAAGAATGAATGATTTTGCCTGCCAATTATTTTTTATATTATAGCTAGCAAAAATAAGAGATGTTATAGAAGGGGAAAAATAAACAAATATTAAAATCTGAGGCTCAGAAACGTATGGCTCAAACCTGTCATTCTTATTGCATGCTTCTTTAAACCAGGTAATAGCATCACTGAGTTCTGCCTTCTCTCTGGTCCTTTTCTCCATCTAAAAGAGATTATTCTGTAAGGCTTGAAGAACAGCAACTTAGAAAAGGATGTATAGACAGACTGCTCCACATTGAGCTCCTGTCTGGCTACAGTCAGTCCACTGTGGACAGGCACTGTGCCTTTGCTTTTCTCTCCAGAAGGGCCTCCTCCTCCTCTATCTTTTGACAGTGATTGACAGCTACAACAAGTTGTTGTGTCAAAGCTCCTGCAAGTCAATTAGGAAAATGATGTGCACTTGCTTAAAGATGATTGTAAATTGCTTCTGGCTGATCAGAATAATGAGTTGCAGCGATGCTAATCAACATTGGGCATATATAGTACCTTGTTCCCTCTATCAGGTTTGCAGCTGCAGCTAGTTCACCTAAATGAGAGGGTTTTCAAATTTCTCATGGGCTGAGGCAGGATGCTCACAATGAAGAAATCAGGAGAAGAGGTGAGGTTGGCCTCAAGAAAAAAAGGTAAAAGAAAGCAACAATCATTTTGCACAGTTGTATAAGCCCGTTTCTATCAGTCACTTATGACTCTGGTTTATGGAAGCAGGAAGGAAGCCAACATTAGATAAAGCCAGATCCTTTACATATATGTAATGATATGTGATGGGTTTTTTCATTGCACCTTCACGGAAGCTCTGTGAAGTGACTATTAATGAAATTGAAAATTTGTGCATCTATTCTATGAAACTGGCAGGTGTTACCAAGCCAATGGGTAAGCAAGGATTTAAATTTCACCTGTTTAATTTCAAAGCTCAGTCTATCCTACCAGTATTACCAAAAAATACTATCTATAGAACATCTGATTTAAACAATCCCCATGTACTTGTTTAAAGTGCAACTTGCTTGGCCCCACCCCACACATACTGGGTCAGAATCTCTGCGGGATGCATGTCACAAGTTCCAGGAATATCCAATTCTAACAAGTAAGTCCAGGTTGTATTCATATACACTAAAGCCTGATAATAATTTCACTTCACCTTGAGTATTCTTGCTCTCTCTCAAAATCTCAAAATTATATAAGACTCACCACAGTTAAGCATTTCAATTCATCACAAAGACTTACTAATTTGGCTTTATTCACTATATCTGAGAGGGTTTTTTCTTTAGAAAGTGGAGAAATATCATTTTAGTTTATTATTGCATAACCTGGAACTTTCTTATTCTGTCCTCTCTCTTACAAATTGCTTTGTGTATCATACTGGGTCCTTTTACGCAGTTTAAATGAGGCTTGGAACAAAATAAGGTGAAAAGACCTAAGCAACATCATCATACATTGCAATGTGCTTCTTTCAGAAAGTTATAGGTGGAAGAACACATGACTAGAGGTTAAAAAAATAAATTTTAACACTGGGCTTCTCACTGTTTCTGTAACCTGTTGTCAATCCCTCTGGTTCATCTTTTTCTAATAATAATAAAAACCATAATTTATTAAGCTTACAAAATTAACTTTCTTTTCTACTTCGAATGAGGCATTGGCTTGCAAAAGCCAATTCAGAAATTGTTTGGCATTTCCTCCAAATATTAAACATATATGCACTCAACAACTTGTACACGTTATTCATTATTTCAAAAAATGGAAACAAATGTACATGAACTGATGAATGAAAAAGTAAAGTGTGGTATATCTATACAATAGGATATTATTTGACACCACAAAAGAATGTAGTATGGATACATGATAAAACACGGATAAACATTTTGCTTAGTGAAAGAAGCCAGTTCTAAAAGATCACAAATTGTGTGTTTCCATTTATATGAAATATTCAGAATATGCAAAGCCATAGAGAATTAAAGTAGGTTAGTGGTTGTCTAGTTGGGAGGGGGATGACAGAGTGTGTGCTAATGGGTAGAGGGTTTCTTTTTGAGGTGATAAAAATCTAAAATGGACTCTAAAATGGTGGTGGCTGCACAACTCTACAAATATACTAAAACTAATTGTACATTTTAAACAGATGAATTGTAAGATATGTTAACTGTATCTCAATAAAGCTATTTTAAAAAGTAAGGTATTAGAAAATAATGTATTAGGCCAGGCGCAGCGGCTCACGTCTGTAATCCCAGCACTTTGGGAGGCCAAGGCAGGCGGGTCACAAGGTCAGGAGTTCAAGACCAGCCTGACCAATATGACGAAACCATGTCTCTACTAAAAATACAAAAATTAGCCTGGCATGGTGGCACGTGCCTGTAACCCCAGCTACTCAGGAAGCTGAGGCAGAAGAATCGCTTGAACTCGGGAGGTGGAGGTTGCAGTGAGCTGATATCGCGCCACTGTATTCCAGCTTAGGTGACACAGCAACGCTTCATCTCAAAAAAAAAAAAAAAAAATAGACTATACAGGAATTGTGCCTATGTTGTTTTTACTTGAAGCAGTTGTTCACAGCATCAGTAAGCTCTTTTATTATTTTTAGAACAGAAACTTATTAGAAGAGCAATTTACAGTTGTTCTGAGTGTTGACTAAGAAGTCTGGAAATTGGAAAATATGCTAATAAAAATATCAGGGTCATTATATATGGTTTTGGAATCTAGGCCAATCAGTATTGGTGTGATGTAAGTCAGTTCTGGAATGCCATGATAAAGGAAACTGAAGAAGGTCAATCTAGAATGATACTTGCTGGATGGATTGAAAAAGTGAAGCTTTAGCAGCAAGTAGAAAAACTGAAGCATCAGTTGCAGTAACTCATCCATTGAGTGAAAAGGTTCTTCCCATGTCCCTACTCTCAGAAATGCATTCTGAAATTTCGAAGAAACAAGACATTACACAAGTACATGGCTTCACTACCAAGGGGAAGGGCAAAAGACCATCTTTGATTTAATTCCAGGCTTCAGTGTCTAATTCTGTGGCAAAGATAGCTCATGAATTCTTTGTTCCTCTGCCAAGCGCAACAGGGATAAGTAGCCTTGCTCTGGGAATATGAGTTTGATGATTGGGTTGCATGAACCCTGGAAGCCTGGAATATTCATCTATTTTCACATTCTTCTGTCCCTCCTGACTGCAGCACTCCCCAAACCTACATGGAAGAGCTAAAATCAATTCTGGTAAATCTCATCAACTTCTAGGACACTGTGGTAGATTTCCTTCAGTTTAATCTCTAGCATTAACTGGAAGAAACATTTTCTTACTCAGTCACTACATTTGTCAAGAAATAATGCTATGGTTGAACACTGCACGAAATGATAGAGATTAACAGTAGCACAATACTAGACATTTCTTTTTTGCTATTCTACTTAATGCCTGATGTAACCTCATGAGGTGGATGTTGTACTCCTGACTTTAGAGATAAGAAAACTGAACTTTTGGGAGGCTAAATAACTTACTTACAGTTACATAGTCAAGAAATGGAGATGGCAAGAGTTCAGGCCTAGGTTTGTCTGATTGCAAATACTACATCCTTTCTATTGCTTCACTTTGTTTGGCTTTAAAGGTAAGCTTCATAAACAAGCTCATAACAACCTTAAACTTTCAGAAAGAGTCTTAGCAAATTATGGTTCAGATAGCAAGAAGGGCATGAATAAAAGTTTTGACACTGAAAAGAATGCTAACATGGACTAAACACTAATTAGGTGCCAGGTGATTTCACAACAATAACAATTGTGAAAGTTAATTTTTGTTTAGGCTACAGATGGGGAAAATGAGGCACAAGATAGCAAATTAACTTGGTAGTGTTTGCTTTTTTGCTTAATGGTATTCTGCCTGTCCCTAGAATCTATGTTCATTCTAATATTCATGCTGCATGTGTAGAAAAAGAATGAAAAGACTTGAGTTGGAAAAGAAAGAATTACAAATCTAAGTAAAGCCGCAACAGTTGATAGGGTACATATTGCTAACAGTATCAAAGGCCAATGTGAAGACCTTTAATTTTAATTTGTAAATACCTTTTCAAGAAATAAAGGGGTTTGATCTGCCAGAGTAGTTAATGTATTTGAGAGTGTAAAATTTATGTTGGATTCACTGCCTCCAGGAATTCTACAAATTTTGTGATTCCATGCTCCTTATTCTACACATTTCTTTGTAGCAGATACTGACGTGTTCAAGAGCTGAATTAAAAGCCACATACCATTCAGAACTATGTACCATAGTACCATAGGAGATAAGATTCTCATTCAACCTGAAGGGTAATGTGTTTCTGGGAGACCTTCTGGTGCAGACCATGTCTTGGCTATAACTTCAAGATCCAGTCAAAATTAGTAAGGTCCAAGACAGGGGATGGAGGGAAGATGATAAGGAAGGGGAGGAGTGTAAGGAGATAAGATTATTGTTTAGTTACAACTTTACTCATCTATCAATAGGAGCTTTCTGGTCAAAAAAGGGTGGCACCATTTCCATTAAGATAGGCTTTAGAAGGTGGAGTAATTAAGCAAGTCATATTCAGATAAAAAAGTAGACAATGGCAAGTCAAAGAGACTTATAATTATTGACTCAAGAGAAAAAAGTATGGCAATATTTTCCAAAGTGGGTGATGTATAAGGTAATTTACAGAGAATACATGAGTTTCCATGCTCAAATAAATTAGGAAAATTTATAGCTAATCAAAATTAAACTGGTTTCTTGACTGTATGCCTTTTTGTAACTTTTATTGCCCTAATATGCATTTTAAATCTCTAAGGGAAAAACATAATATGCAGTGTTTATTAAATTTATTTGATCTCAGATCACTTTTTTTTGTAGAGCAACCTAAGGAATTAATATTCAAAGGGACAGAAATTTGGGAATCACTCGTTAAAAGAAAGGTCTCTGATATCTAACAATATTGGGCTAAATCCCAACCTATTAGGCATGACTGTAAAATCATGGGACAGTTACTCATACCTTTACCTGATTCCCCAGCTGTTAAATGAGAATGACCATAATACCCCAGAGAACTTCTGTGAGGATTAAATGGATATGCAAAAGCTCTCGACATAATACCTGGCTCAAGGTAAGCACTCAATACATGGTTGCTGCTAGTATTATTGTTAACATATTTCAAAAAAAGAAACAGAAGCTTATTGTTATATTCAGTGAAGTGACATTAAGGAGAAGGGTATGAATCTTATAAATATTCATTTTGCACAGATGCTATACATCATTTTAATGCTAGCAAATTTAAGGTAGAGAAGTGAAGGAAATTGTGTTGAGATTCAGAAGGAAAAAAAGACAAAAAAAACAAAAAAACAGTCTCCCAGTAAGAGGCCAGCCAGTAGCTGCTTTCTTACCAGAAGTGCTGAGGTGGTTAAATAGTGTCCCTATTATTGCAGAACTTAGTGCAGTTGGTGAAAAGACATCTAGATAATTAAGATGTTATGTTTTAATCAAGAACAGGGTGAGTGCCAGAATCCACAACTTTAAGATGTCATTTCCAAAGGCTGACCAGTAACAGCTTATAGAAAGTGTGGCAGGAATTGCTGGTTTTCTCCTTACCAACACTCTTTCCTCTAACCCACCTCTACTTCTTTTCCTCACTTGGATTGGATGGCATTGAAGGCAGGGCTTTATGCCAGGGGATAACTCTTGGATGCGTTAATTATACTTTATCTTCTTGAAAAAAAAAGATGGATAGAGTTTGATGCAGCAAAGATAAAAAAATGATGGTTCTATATAGACTGAACATTTCTTTATGATTTCTGGATTCATTGCTTCTATAGTATTAAACAAATGAAATCAGTATTCTACCTTTAATGTGTGTTGATTACTAATTTGAAAATTACAATATTCTAACCTGAATAGTCTTCGATCCAGGAAATCTATTATCTGTTTAAAATTACTATTTACTGGTTCTCCAGTTTCATTGCATTAACTCTCTGACTTGTTCTCTGTTTTTTTTTCCTACCCCCATACTTTCAACTGAAAGTCACTGGATTAGTAGGCAATCTTTCAAGGACATACTATGTACATTTCCAATCCTATTAGTGCTCATATGATAATGCTGCAGTGTGTACAAGAGCTCTTTCAAACCAGAGGACACACATATTTTTGAGTGTTCAGATCTGTTCCAGGAGCTACCCCAAGAATGCTACATTTATATATCAACCATTATCAATATAAGTTCCTTTTAGATTACTGCTTATTTATTTTATTTTTTTATGCCTGTTACCATAGTTTCCTTTTTATTATAATAAAGATCGCTTCACCTTGGAAAGTTTCTTAGGATAGCCACTCTATGGGCTCAAATCCATTAGCGCTGTTTGTTAATTTGGAAATGGACCAAGTTCTTGGCCATAGTTTCAGCATTAAAAGTGCATCATCTTTGATGGGGAAGATAAAAGTAGTCATTGCTGTGGCTTTATAAAGTTGTTAGACTAGAATATCAAACTGTTTCACAGCTATTCTATTACAATCACAGACTAAAAATATCTTCTTCTTTCCTTGTTCTAAATGTTTTGATAGGCAGTGATGTTTTCACTAATGCACTCTTGTTTGATGGCTTTACTTTTACTTGTGTCAGTCTTGGAAACAGAAAAGGAGAATCAGCATATTTCTGTATGTATCATATGCCTGTCAACTTCTACACTATGACTCCTTTACAGACATACAGTTTAAGAATTTTAGAATTCATCTATTTCTGTCCCTTAATTTTTTCCTACTCATCACCAAAATAAAATTCAAAACCTTTAGTTCGAAATTTCAGCTTATTCACAATGTAGCCCTTCTTCTGCCCTCCATCTCCTCGTATTCCATGCTACAGACAAATAGAATACCCCCTGTTTTCAATACACACCATTTAGTAACAGCATGCCTTTACAACTCTGTTATTTTGGTCTGAAATGCCTTCTACTGCCTTCTTTTGTCTGACTAAAATCCTACTGAGCTTTCTTACTCGAGCTCATATAATAGTCTTACCCAAATGAGCTCAGTTGTTCCATCTTGTGTTTCTTTTCATGTGTGTGTTTACATACCTGACTCTTCAACTGGACTGTATTTTATTTGAAAATAAAGATCAAATCTTGTCAATTCTTCATGATCTGTCTCTAGTTCTAGGATGGAAATAAAATATTTCCAAATTTAAATCTCGGTTCCAATACTTATAACACTTATAACACTTATTCTATGTGCTTTTGAAAAGGATCACTGAACCTTCTCCTCCTCTGTAAAACTGAGGTAATATCTAAATTGCCAAGGAACCCTTTCAAAAACCAGACTTTCCAGTTCTCTTAGATTAAAAAAGACTCATTATTCCCTTATGTGTAGAGATCAACTGTCATAAATTCTATGATCTTCTCTGGTTATAAACCCCAGCTTTGTAAATGCTATCCTCCTGGTTCAGATCCTTAAAGAACTACATAATAACTGTGTTAAGGCTCTATAATAAATAAACTGATTATCAAATGGATTGGCTAAGTGTGAACTGTCTATTAGAGATTAATATTTATTAGCAAAACTACTAGTAAAACAAAGACATTTTAGAGTAATTAATAATTTACTGAAGATATCACTTTGTATCATTATCTAGATTGTTTTTACCATCATACACTAAGATGTTCCAATGGATTTAACTTATTTGGATTGATTGTTTTCAAGAGAGACAGTACTGTATACTAGATAAAATCATGGGTGCTGAAATTAGGCCTCGGTGCAAACTCTTGCTTAGCCACATTGTGGCTTCATGACTTTAGATGGGTGACTAAAACCCCTGAAACTTCAGTTTTTTCATTTGTAAAATAATAATCCTTATGATTTCTATTTTATAGTATGTTGTGAGGATTATAAAGAACATATAATTATAGAATTCAGAGTAAGTTGAGCACTCAATCCACTGTTAGATTTCCTGTAACAAAGTTCCTTCTCAAGCTCCACATTCATCAACTGAAGTTTACGTTGCACCAAACCAAAGATACATATGTGTGTGTGTGTGTGTGTGTATATATATATATATATATATATTTTTTTTTTATGGCAACCTTTATCTTTTGTTTTGTTTTGTTTTTTCTTTCTCTTTGAAGGACTCTGTTACACAGAAGGCAAAAGCATAAGATTAGATTTAGCCCATCCCTTTCCAGACCATAACTCAAGAGTTGCCAAGATCTGCCAGTTCTCCTTTGGCCAGCTCTGCTCCCGCGCAGTAAATCCAGCCTCTGTGAGCAGTACCATATCAGGACCACCTGTCATACCTCACTTCGATCATTCTCATACCATCAGCCTGACACTGCATTCTACTCCCTCCCTTTCAAATCAGCTTACATCCTACCATCAATTATATATATTCTGTCTCACAAACACATTTCTTCCTTTTTTTTTTTTTTGCCTTCTATGTTTTTACTTATTTTGTCCCTGGAGATTTCAATTTTGTCCTCCCATCCTCCATGCTGCTTATCAAAAATATGAATTCTCCTGTCTTAAGTTTTAATCTTTATTGAGTGTTTGCTTACTTTGTGTCAGCAGGTGTGCTAGGTGCTTTGACAAATGCTATCTAGCATATCTGCTTCTCACAACCACCGAAAACTCTCATTAGGTGAAAATATTATTATCCCTTTTTGACAGTGAAGAAATCAAGGCTGCAAGAGGTTAAGCACTTTGCTAACAGTCATAATAGCTGTAAAGCTAGGATAAGTCCAGGACACTCTAATTCAATAGTGCTGTCTCTCAAGCTCTAAGAGAAACTGCTGTATTGCTCAGGATTCTCTAAAGAAACAAAACCAATATGAGATACACACACACACACACACACACACACACACACACACACACACAGAGAAAGAGAGAGAGAGAAGAGAGAGAAAAATAATTATTTTTGGAACTCTAACAATTGGCTCATGTGATTACAGAGGCTGAGAAGTCTCATGATCTGACATCTTTAAACTGGAGAACAAAGAAAGCTAGTAGGGTAATTTAGTCCTAGTTCAAAGGCCCAAGAACCAGGAAGAACAATGTTCCAGGATAGGAGAAGATGGATATCCCCACTCAAACAGAAAGGAAATTTTCTCTTCCTCTGCCTTTCTGTTCTATTTAGACCCTCAAAGGATTGGATGCTGCCAACCTCATTGGTGAAGGTCTTCTTTACTTGTTTACCAATTCAAATTTTAATCTCTTCCACAAACACCCTCATAGACACACCCAGAAATAATGTTTTACCAGCTATCTGGACATTCTTTAGTCTAGTCAAGTTGACATTCAAAATTAACTATTAATACTCCCTTGCCTTGAGTGACTTGCTCAAATTTTCCTTTTCCTGATCTTCTCTGACAACTTTTCTTTTTTTCTGTATGTCTGTAACCAATTTATATATATTTTACAGGACTTGTCATATCTTGTTTTCCAGTGCAGCTTTTGCATGTATAGCTAATCTTTTTTACTGTGTTTTTAATTTGATGAGAACCTACACCATTTCCTTTTCAACTTTTATTTCTTGTGGCATCTTGCACAATCTTATATACAGCAGGTATTCAGTAAACGTAGAATTGAACTAAAATGAATTACATTGATTGCATTGATGCAGTGTTCACAGTTATTTAAAAGCAGAACCTGGAGTTGAACTCAGGTTTCTCCTAAAACACATTGTCCTTAAAACCTCATACTGTGCAGAGAAAACAGATGTGGATTTTGAATGTACCTCTGCCACTTAGCAGGACTGTGTCTTTGGGTGAGCCACTTCACCTTTCCTGATACATAAAATGGGAAAATAATACCTATATTGCAGGCGTGCTGTGGGAATTAAAATAGAAAGCATATGTAAAGCATTTAGCATATACTTGAACCCTCCTGGCAAACAATAAATGATAGTTGCATTCAGTCTCGCCTTTGTATTGCATAACTATATAAGAAGTAGAAACCACAGCCTTGTTTCCAGTGATTTTTTTTTTTGAGACATTGAAATGAGAATGAGAAACTCTGAGTGAACAAACAGAATTGCTTGTAACTAGAGTGACTGTCAAGTCTTCTGTGAAGCATCAGTGACCTTAGAAAGCTCTCCAGGTATATTGGAAGAACAGTGAGGCAGTTATAAATTACAACTAAGACTGATAATCCCCAGTTCAGTTTCATTCCAATTAAGCTTTAAGTAGTGGTTGACAGAAAATGGTTGGGAAAATAAAATAAATAAATAAATAATAATTAAAAAAAAAAGCTTGATCCAGAACAGAACATTAGCGTGAACCCAAGAGCATTGGGATTCAGATATGTGAGGCTGCCTGTGAAGTGGCCGTCTTATGAAGAGTGACACAGACCAACTCTAACCATGAAAGACAAAGTGGCGACTAAAACAGGAGATAATATTCAGAGAAGGACATTCACAGAAGAGCCATCCCACTCTGTGTTTTACCCTGGCACATGAGGCACTTTGGTCTTCTCTATGAAGTAGGTATTCCGGTCTTCTGCCCCCTAAATTTTATAAGAAAGGAAATAGAGCAGATCATCTAATCTCTGCTAATAGGATATCCATAAAGATGGCTTCAGGTAGGGACTATAAGTTTACATTTTAAACAAATGAACAGTGCACTATGGAACAGAATAATATATCAGATGTAACTTAGAAATCTACTAAAGATATATTTATTCAACAGATATTTGTTGTATTAAAGTATCAGAGGAACAGACTCTGATTTATCAGAGGGACAGAGGTCATAGCTATTGAATATATACCAGGTATCAAAAATAATGTTGTAAATTTAGATATAGTATTAAAAAATATACCATGTTCTCAAATATCTCGTGGTATGTAGGAAACAAAGATAAATGAACAATTATAAATCAGTGTGAGAAGTGAGAAGTCCTCTGCTACAGAAAATTACTAAAATACCTTTTTTTTTTTTACATTATCTTAGGTATTATAGTAAAGTTTCTCTTTTAACCCATTTAATTTTTCTCAAAACTTTATTGGGTAGGTACTATTGTTTCCCCTAGTTTAAGATAAGAAATTCAAACAGAGAAGGGAATCAGATTTTGTATAAGCAACAAGATATCAGAGGTGAAGTTTGAGCCTGGCTTCAAAGTCTGTACTTTTAAATTCTATATATACCATACCCTTAAGATGCTTTTGGAAATAGCGTTGCAAGAGAAAATACAGTATATCAAACTAAATTAAATGCAGATAAACAGCGAATAAATTTTAGCTTATGTATGTTCCGTGCAATAGGTGGTTTATGTTTATATTTAAAAATATGTGATGTTTTGCTGAAACTTAAATTTGATTGCATAGTCTGTAGTTTTATTGGCTGAATCTAGCAACCCTACTGGAATTATAAAGGAGTCTTGCCATGGCATAGGAGAGACCAAAGATAGAGATAAAATGTTTAAGCCACTTTATTTGATTTGAGAGTCATATTTTTCTTTGATTTTATTCCTTGGTTGCATTTTAAATTTATGTGGTAAAGATCATGTTGCACCACGTATTGTTTTCTGCCTGATTTCATTATTATTATATCAAAAGCATATTCTTATGCCAAGAAAATTGTGTAAAAAAGAAAGATAATAGAATGAAGATAATAGAGCATGTCTCATTGGTTACTCTAAATTAAATGATGTAATGTACCTAAAGTCTGGCTCTAATGTATGGCATCTAGCAAGTCCCCAGTAAAAGGTGATATTGGATATAGTGGAGTTGTTATGTTGGTCATGAATATTAATGTTTTTGCTATAGTTATTACTGAAATAGTAAAGTGATAGTATTGATTCTCACAATAAAATCCTAATATAGCCAGGGCTGAGAAAATGATGATCATTTTCATGATGAAAAACTTATCAGAGGAACAAAAGTCATAGCTGTGACTCAGGTCTTCCCCATCCTAATTCAACTCTTAGTCTTATTATCATAGATTTAGCATATATGGATATAATGGTTAATTTTATGTGTCAACTTGACTGGGCTATCTCTGGGCTATATCTGGATGCCAGATATCTGGTTAAACATTATTTCTGGGTGTGTCTGTAAAGGTGTTTCTGGAAGAGGTTAGCATTTCAGTTGATAGACTGAGTAAAGCCAATGGCCCTCCCTAATGTGGGTGGGTGTTATCCAATCCCTTGAGTACCTGCATAGAACAGAATTGTGGAAGGTTGAATTAACTCTCTTGAGTGCTTGAGCTGTGACATCAATCTGAAGCTATCTATAGTGGTCTTGTTCTCAGGCCCTCAGACAGACTGAAATCTATACCACTAGTTCTCTAACTCTTAGGGCTTTTAATTACACTGCTGGCTTTCCTGCTTCTCCAGCCTGCAGACTGTAGAAATTCTCAGCCTCCAAAATCTCATGAGCCTGCATCTTACATTAAATTTATCTATCTATCTATCTAATCTATCTATCTATCTATCTAGAAACAAGTAAAAAGTCAAATGAACAAAACCCAAACTATCTATACATAAATTACACTGGATTTAATATGAATTATTCCTATACTGACAGATTGTTTACTAGTAAAAAACTGGTCAAAGTATAATAAGCCTATTAAATTCAGCTGATCCTGAAATAATACATTGTCTCACAAAAATTCGAAGAGAATGTGCGATAGATATTAAAGTAATCCTGGGAAACATTTTATTAAAATTAGAATGTTTAAGTGAAAATTCACTCATTCAGAGAATATATTTGAACATCTTTCTGTATTAAAAATTTCATTACAAATGGGACCTGTACACAGAAACATCAGTTTGGTTTATTATCCTTGAGGAATTTATAATTGGAGGAACGGAGAAACATGTAAAAGAAATAATCATGACCTCAAACGCTGCAGCTTTCCAAGTACTCTTTCCTTAGCTATCCTTATAGTAGTCCCAGTACTCTTAGGTAGTCTAGTTCACCCTTCACATACTTTCTGAGGATCCTGAGACA